>NT_187501.1:0-66486 GCF_000001405.40 Homo sapiens
GAATTCAAGAATGCACGTTGTATTAAACCAGGTAAAACATAACCAGACCAGATTTTGTAAATGGACTCTCTTAAAGTTTTTATAATTTATATTCATATTTCACATATGTTGAAAGTAAATAATGGAAAAGCATGCAATGCAAATATTAACCAAAATATAGCTTTAGTTGTACTTATATTCACTTTTTAAAAGTTGGACACAGTTAAGTCTCAGTGATTTTTTTACACAACGGAGGCAACCTGTGCAGTTATAACTAGTATTATATTATGCTCTTGGTCTGATTACAGAAGGGAAAGGGGCGATCATACCAGACAATGGCAGAATGAAGCAACAAGGAGTAGAGTTACAGAATATGATGCTGTAACTGGAACTGGAGTTACTCTTTTAGAGTTAAAGAATAGTAAACTGAACAAAATATATGAAACATTGTTTTGAAGTACTGAACATCAGACAGCACAGGACTGTGCTCTGCAAGAGAAGAGAAGGAGCAAGAATGAGTCCTGCTTTATTCCCAGATTCTCCGTGACAGCAGTAGAGAGGAATCCCAGAGAGAGCAGACATTGTCATTGCACTGAGGAACCAGATAAAAATCAAAAAAGGTTAAGCAGCTGGAATGTGTAGTAGAAGAGAACCTTTACAGAAAAAGGAACCAAGAATCAGCCTAAGGATTCTCCCAAGTCCCTAAGCCAAATGTACATAGGATGAAATTCTAAGGAGCTCAGCAAAGGACACTACCAGGGAGTTGGAATAACACTTCCCTGGCATCACATGACAGGAAGACACGTTAGCTCTGACCAGCCAGAGAAGGGAATCCCCTCTGTACCTCCAGGATGTTCAGTAAAGACCACTGGAGGTTCATACCCTAGTGACAGTGCTTATTTAGCTCCAAGTTACAGATGGCTCTAGACTAACTCCACAAAGTTTAAAGAGAAGATTTAAAACAACAACAGACAAATACTCATCCTGAAGTTACTGAACTGCCTGCCACAACATTGTTCAAAGGTAGCCAATAAAATCTAGATATTCAATAGCATAACATCAAAATACCCCCCCAAAAAAACTCTGACATGCAAAGAAGCCGTAAGATATATATAATTAAGATATATATTAACAGGATAAAAATAAGTCATTTATAAATGACAGAAAAGAAGGAAATTTCAAGGTCCTTAAAGTAAATATATTTTATAAATACATATAGATAAATACATATATACGTCAAGGTACTTAAATGAAAATTGAACATAGGAGAAAAATATAAGTTATAAAATGAAAAATGTGACATGCATAGATGAAAAATAAATATTTGAAATAAAAATTCCATGAGATAGAATAAGTAATGGATTTTACCCTAACATCAGAAAATTTATAGAAAAAAAATAGAAGCTTTGCAAACTAAAGGACAAAGGGTAAACTAAAATAAGAAAGCCAGAAACTCACTGATACGTCAGACAATATGCAGCAGTGTAACATACATGTAATTAACATCTCAAAAAGGATGGGTGGGGGAATTATAGGTGAATAAAGAATGGTACACTCATTCCTGAGGGCACCGAGGAGGGAGGATAGCTTTAGATTTCTAAGGGAGGGTATTATCCATTCATGAAGGTCCGACCCCATGACCAAACACCTCCCAGTAAGCCCCACCTGCAACATTGGTGATCAAATTTTAACATGAGATTGGAAGGGGCAAGCATTCAAACCATAGCAAGAGTTAAATTTCCTTTTTAAAAAAATGACTGATATGATTCCATTTCGCCTTAGATAAAAGCTAGTATTTCAGCCTACCATTAAGTGTGCTTATAGCTCACCAAAAGGGCACTCTGTCTAGGGAATACAGATTTGCCTAGACATATCCTATTGCAGTCAAAGAAAGAGTAACGAGGGATAGAAAAGGTTAGTGATGGAGACACCAGCGCTGCATTTTGCAACAAACAATGTAAAAACTTTACGGATTGGTTCTGCTAACTTACTACAGTTTACATTCCTCTCAGGTGGGAGAATTGTTGCGTTTTTTCTTAAGAAAGAAAAGCAATTCAGATAATCTGAAATCTCCACAAGAAGGATAAGAAGCACAGCAGAAACTGTTCTAGGCAGGAAGTCAATCCTTTCAACTGTCTGTGCTCCATATAAAGAATTGTCTGCACTGGGAGTCATATGAGGTACAGACAACAGCCAGACCTCTGATCCTCTCATTATTGATTTCAGAAGAAATTACCAGTCAACTGAGTAATTCACTGAGTCAAGTAAACATTTGGCACTGAAAGAGGTTAGACGGATAACTATTTGTATCACCATATTCATGAAGCTGGAATATTTTCCATTACTCGTATCACATCCGAATGGAAGATGTTAAAAGGTCTCTCATCTTGTAAGATGGATATGAAAGAACATTTTCTGAGAAATGAAATTATTAACACACCTGCGAGGTGGAAGGAAGAGAAAAAAAAGAATAATCAGCTTGAGTTCTTCTCCTTGATAAGACAACTCACTAAAAACATAAAGAGAAAAATACAAGTTTAAAATAATTAACCAGAAGAAGACGACTCTAGAGTTTTCAAATTGCTGATGCGATTTTAATTTGCTCCAAGTTGAAAATAATTATATTGCTTGTGTTTTAAGGCCCATAATGAGCAATTATATCACACATGATAGTTTCAGCAGTAAAATATTATCTGTTAACAGCTGGAACTCATAAAAGCATAGCACAATGTGAAGATGGATTTTGCTAAAATAAACCATCCGCTGAAAACTACTATTCTGCAAATTTAAAAATAAAGTTTAAATGTTATTTGTATTATTTAATATGCCTGTGAAAAAAATGCGCTATTTGAAAACTAGCTGCTACCTTAATTAATTCTTTATATTAGACGGCTGGTTACAGTAATGCACGGTAAGGTGCTACATAGATATATTGCTAAATTTTCTGCATACACTATGTATTTGGCTTAAATTATTTGAAATTTTATAGTTAAAATAACAAATGTATATTTAAATGTTTTGACACAAATTGCAAATATACCTTTAAAAAGCGTCTTACACTCTAAATATTATTTGTCACCTATATATTTGTCTTTTCTCTATAGGAAAGTTTAAATTTTTCCCTTGAAGCTTTAATTATTTGTCTATAAAACAAACTGATAATGTACAAATTAACAGGAGAAAAAGGTTTACAGATATGTGCACAAGTATGCACTTGGAGTTTACATAATATATATAAATATATCTATACAAATATTTGTATATTATAAATAGATATACAAAAATATGCTATATATATAAAAACTCCAGGAAAGGCAAGATAGTCAACACGCCTATGCTGTCTTCAGGTTACAGAAAACACAGAGCTGTAGGTTGGTAAATCAGGCTTTGCGGAAGACAGGTGACGACAAGGAAGAAAGAGGAGCCTGACAGCAGAGGTGGTCTTGTTACATGGATGAAACCTCACAGGGAGCAGCCCTCCTCTTGGGAAGTATAGATAGGAAATGGTTTTTAGAAGTGTAAACGTGCCAGGCTCAGTTAATCTTTCCTAAACCCAGACAAGGGAATATCTCAGGGAAAGCCTGTCTATATCAATGCAGATTTTCTCTACAAATGCAAATCTCCCCAACAAACACAGCTTTTCAGCTATTCTTGTAGAAGAAGCTATCTCCAGTCTTCCGAGTAGCCATCTTGAAATATGTCAAAAAGCTGGCCAGGCGCACACCTGTAATCCCAGCACTTTGGGAGGCTGAAGTGGGAGGATCACCTGAAGTCAGGAGTTGGAGACCAGCCTGACCAACATAGTGAAACCCCGTCTCTACTAAATACAAAAAATTAGCCGAGTGTGGTGGTGCAGGCCTCTAATCTCAGCTACTTGGGAGGCTGAGCTAGGAGAACTACTTGAACCTGGGAGGCTGAGGTTGCAGTGAGCCAAGATTGTGCCATTGCACTCTAGCCTGGGCAATAAAAGCAAAACTCCATCTAAAAAAAATGTATTTTAGGGTAATATTTTGAGTATCTTTACCTCCATATGTACAATATTATTGTGATTTTTAAACTTTTCTGTGGATAAAACACAGGTGTGATTTCTAGTGTAGCTGAACATCGTTTATTTGACAATATTGCACTTGTGTGTGGGTGTGTGCGTGTGTAGCTACTCTTTAATTTTGTTCTCACATGATTAGATATTAACAATTCAGTAAAATGTATGTTTTGCAATATTTCTCCATGTTATTATGCTTTAAATTAGTTTAATCATGCCCCTATAATGTGTACATTTTAACCTTTGACTATTGGTCTCAATCTTACTTTGGTTCCTGTATTTGAATTTACGCTAATAAAGTCCTACAGCTAAAATAGATTATATAAACTTATCTACATTTTTACTAGTATTCTGGTGTCATTTTAAATTATGTAATGAAATCAAATTTTAATTTGGATTATTGTTATCTGAGTTAAGGATCTAAATTTGTAATTTTCTTATAAATATTACATAATTATTTTGGAACCATATATTGACTAATCTGCCCTTTATATGATGTGCATTATAAGAGCTTGGGATTGTTTCATTTGCAAAGATGAATGCTTGAGAAGTAGATATTTAACCATAACATTTCAAAATCTACTGGATAACCTAGAATTGAAAAATAGCCTATAGGTTGAAAAACTCCTGTAGTGAAGAAAGAAAATAAGTAATATACAGTGACAATATAAATATTATAAGTATTTATTTTATTATCGCCCTGAAATTTGATAATGCAAACATGTAATATCTACATATCATCCATATATCAGGTCATAAAAAATCAATACATTCTTCAAAAATTTAGCATAACGGAAAATGCACTCTCTCTCCTTGATGGAATTAAGTTACAAATAAAAGTAAAAATAAGTAGATAAGTAGATGGAAGTAGATGTTTAAAAACAATGAAAACTATTTGTTTTGGATAACATAAAATCTCAATTGACAATTCCAATGTTTCCAGAACTTTGCCTGTCAACTGGTGGAGAGTTTTCCCCAGGAGACATTTGTCAATGTCTAGGGTTATTGTGGGGATGTCAAGACTGGTGGAGGTGTGAAATTTAGAGGTCAAACGAAACACCTAGCATTGCTAGGGCAGCCTCCCACAACAAAGAATCCTCTGGTCCTAAAGGTAAGTAGCACCAAGGTTGAGAAACCATAATCTAGACAGTAAACACTACGTAGCTATTCCAAGTGCTCAGGAAAACACATCAGTGCCCTCGAGGGGAAAAGTGTAAACATTTTAATTGCTGTACATGGTGACACAAATCCATGTTGTTAATCTAAGTGGAAGGGGCTGAAGCACAAAACGTAATTCAAAGAGTTTACTTGAACCACAATGAGGACAGCTGCCTGGAAGAAACAGACCCAAGTATCCTTGGATATGAACTCCCTTTGGAGCTTTGCAACAAGCAGTTTCCTAAAGGGATAAAAGGGTCCAGAAGTGGGATGATGCAAAGAGGTTTGTCACAAATTCTCATTGGCTTATGGAAATAACATTTATTAGTGACTGGCTATACACTGTTACACTATTATTGGGTGTGGATTATAGTGTCTGGTGTGGCGTTATTGGTTAATTTATAGCTACTGTGGCAACAGCGGCAGCTTAGATGAACACACAGCTCAAAGAGGAGCAGGACAGAACTGCTGTCTCATTTGAATATCTCTCTGGGCCTGATTATTTAAAAGGACTTGCATTTCACACATGAAAGTTATTTTCTTTTCTCAATGTCCATAAATGAGAATAAATAGACATAAATAGATCTTTTCGAGGATGAAGTAAATGGAATGAAAAACAAAACCCAAGCTGACCAGAAATCATAGAGGGAAGAAAAGGTTATAAATATATGGATTTTTCAAAGTGATTTTAAGCTATTAGGAATCAGTTAAATGTTGGGGGATTTTGTCTGAGTATGGGCTAAAGAAGAATATCCCTTTTGCCTTCTGAAGTTTCCCTGAAAATCACTAATAGGAGGCAGATAAATAGTAGAAAAGGCATACAGGTTTCTGCAATGTGTGTACACTGGAGCCCTTAGAACTAAGACCCAGACACACGATGCGTGCAGAAGCTTATCTACCACATGAAGTTTACAGAAAGAATGGGGTCTTGGATCACAGGGAAAAAAAAAAAGGTTATGTGGGAAAACGAACCTGGCTAGCAACAGTGGACTTATTACATAGGTGGAACCTCACTGGGAGCAGTCCTCAGAGAGAATAGACAGAAAATGTTTCTTTCAGACCTTTGGAGACCTCAGACTCTCAGTTAACCTTTCCTAGATCCAGACAAGGGGGCAGACCTCAGAGAAAGCCTGGCTGCATCAAGGCTGATTCTCTAAAGATGCAAATCTCCCCAAGACAGCTTTGCAGCTAAGTTTGCATTTCCAGCCCTTCTCAATAGCCATTTTGAAATATATCAAGGAAATATATTTAGGGGTAAAATATATTAGTTTCCTTCATATAGCTATAAAACATACAGGAATAATTTTTGTCAATGTCTACTACAAATCCAATATAGCTGTAATTATAAAACCCACCAGATATTGAAGAAAAAATATGTAGAGTACATCACTTACAAATGTTGATACTAAAATGCCAAATAAAATAAAAATAATATCCAACAATATTTGAAACAGTAAGACAAGAAATTGGCAAAAAAAATCCACCTCGGGGATGAAAGTGCGTTTCCAAATTTGGTAATCCAATAATATTAATAATCATATTGATTAGCCCAAATTAAAAATAAATAGGGGATTCTCATTACATTCTAAAATATATTTGTTAAAAGGCAATATTCATGTCTTTAAAGATTTTAAATGCTATAAAGAGTCTGATATTCTATATGCAAACGTGTATGTCCATTAGAAGAAGAAAGGCCTGATTTTCATGTGTTACTACATAGAGATAGAGAAGTGGATAGATTAACTTGCATATGCATAGAGAAAGCATAAAATAGAAATTTACTATCATATTAAAGGAATTTAAATTCAACAATAAAATAATTCAAAGGTAAGATTTTAAATATTTTTAACAGGTACATTATTAATATTAGATAATATTTATAATAATTGTGAAAATATTCAATGCTAAAATAAGATAGAATGTCTAAACATCAGTATTAAAACTAGTATAAATATTTGCTTGTTTATACAAGGAAAATTCAAGCTCGACCTAAAATTATATAGGAAATAAAAGAAAAATTTTAAGGGAGCTCTTTAATAACATAAACATATATATATACACACCCACATATAACATGTATATATGTTATATGGGATAGATATAGATTTAACATGTTATATCTATATTTGTATCTATAACTACAGCTGTATGTATCTACATTTCTATATATTTACTCAGTGATATAAATATAGACTGGAATAAATATAAAGGCACATATGATTCTTGGATAAAAAGGATTTAGTATCATAAAAACAAATTCTTTCCAAATTCACCTATGAATTCACAACAATATACAGTTTCATTAGTATAATTTAAAATTTTTAAATAAATTCCAAGATTCATTTAAAGGAATATACATATATACAAGCAGTCAAGAAAGAAGCAAGAATGCACTAAACTAACTTGCTATTGAAATACATTTTTAAACTTAGTAACTAAAACTGAGCAGTACTGATTTGGAGTAGTGGAACTTAGGTATATGGGATCTCAAAAGCACAGAGCTCAAAGGAGACCCCTGTATGCACGAGAGCTTAGGATGTGCTTTAGAAGGCATTACCAAACCACGGGCAAAGTTACTTTAGTGTCTTAGTCTTACTAGGTTTGAAAAGCCAGAGAAAAGACTCAAGGCCACCATATAAGAGCAAAACAAAAGGACAGGGAGAGAATGTGAAGACATTGAAACATTTTACATAAAGTTGTATAAAACATCCTTTAAAAAAATGTAAAGTTTAGGATATACATCAAAATCAGCAGAGCCACTGAATAAATAATTAGGCATTGTAAAATAGCAAGAGAAAATTTAAATGGATTTCTAAAAAATATTGACACCCATGATTTTTAAAATATGTTTAAGAAATCCCATATTTCACAGGGCAGCCTTTCCCAACACAAATATGTTAGGACATAAAGGTCCTTCTGTTTTTAATTTACTAGTGTTTATAGGGTTACAAATGTCTTCTACCCTTGTCTTTTGTCTGAAGGTGCAAAAAATTTCCATAAGCATGTATTTCTGAATGCCTGATGGATTGACATATATAATATGCTGCTAGTATTAAAATATGTGATGGAAAACACATCCAATCTTCTCACTGTTTGCATAAATTCTAGGTTTCTCCTATTTACCTCAAGCACGTATGGAGCCAATTCTTACCTTTTAATATTGCCATGGCATTCACATTGAACGTAAGTCAAACTCTCTCATATGGTAGCTGGGTTCAGATTGCCTTGACAATTTCCAGTTCTAACCCTCACAGTTTCTCAGTATGGCTGGCCCAGAAATTCACCCTACACAGTTGCCTCCTCCTGGTGAATACCCGCTACAGAACTGTTGGATACAACCTACCTGACTCACCCCACAGACCTCACAGCCCACATGGACAGCCCCCACACGCCAGAGTGACCTGCTCAGTTGCAGCGGGAGCCAAGAAATGTGCCTGCTGGCACTCACTCCACCGACTAGAGCCCCATGGGAAACTTATTTGGGTAATGATCTGGTCCCAATAAAGGCTGGAGTCCCACAGACCCCTTTTCTCTCTCCTGCTCCCCACTCATTTTCCCCATTTTGTTCAGCCCTATGAGGTATGCTACTGTATTAGTCCATTTTCACACCACTGGTAAAGACATGCCCAAGACTGGGTAATTTCCAGAAGAAAGAAGTTTAATAGACGCACAGTTCTACATGGCTGGATAGGCCTCACAATCATGGTGCAAGGTGAAAGGCATGTCTCACATGGCAGCAGACAAGACAAGAGAGCTTGTGCAGGGAAACTCCCCTTTATAAAACCAACAGATCTTGTGAGACTTATTCACTATCAGAAGAACAGCATGGGAAAGACCTGCCCCCATGATTCAATTACCTCCCACCTGTTCCCTCCCACAACATGTGGGAATTCAAGATGAGATTTGGCTGGGGACACAGCTAAACCCTCTTCTCAGCTACCCTCTTCTCTCTGGATCTGTGAGTAATAAACCTACTTCTGTGATTTCCCATGTTTGATCCTGTGGCCTCCATGTGTCTGAGCTGAGCTACACTGGAACCTAACTCTCCTCCTGGCCAGGGTCTCTGAGAGTGGCTCTTGTCAGAAATACAGAGGACACAGGTCAGGCAACAGTCACCAGGCATCTCCTAGTCTCAACAGATGTTCTGTGAGAGGGAGGCCTGGTCGTGGGATGCACACCTGGCCACTGCTGGGGTAAGGAAGTGTCCTGTGAAAGGCACATGTTAAGCATCCACAACCCCCTGCCCAGAACCCCAGAAAGGCAGGGCTCCAAGTGACAGTCACTCTCCAGAGACAAACCTCAAGCCCTAACTGGAGGAAAAGAAAACAATGTAAAAAGTTGAATTTATCTTACTATTTCAATTATCCAGTAAAGACATTCTATGCCTGTACACCACATATTTTCCTTGATTGTGGATATGTTTTAGATAGAATTTTATGTCTGGTTTTCACTTTAGCCTGGTCCTTATCTCAAGCATAAGGTAAAGATTTTCCATGGGTTCTTTTCTGGTACTACTACCTGCCAGTGTGGGGTCATGTCCTAGTCTATCTTGAGGGAACCCCCCTATTCATTATTGTCAGAGTGAGACTGTTAAGTCTTGATTTCCCTGGACAACTTCACTGCATGACTTTTAATATGATTTTTTAATGTACCCTTTACTGGAAAATAAATTATATAGTTATCTGAGTAAGAGATATAGTCAGGAAGAGGCATTGCCTCATTCAGCTTTTTTCTTTGGTGAACTTGCATATGTTCTCCTCACCCGCCAGTCACCTCTAAACCATATTGTTCCAAGACAACAAACAGGACTCGAGTGTGTATCTTTCACCACTGGATTTGTCTTTGCTCCATAAAGCTTCATGCTTAGTAGGGTTTCTGTTAGCATTTTCTCTATTTATTTTCCCATAAAATATCACAGGCCTTCTTCATATGGAATTATGGGTGATTTCCTTCAATCTGCATCGTATCAAGTTGAGGTTCACGTTGATGGAAAGTAAAACATACTTTTAAAATATCAGTAGTGTTTTCCCCTTCTTTTCAGCACATGTGCTTGTGATACAAGCACATTTCAATACAATTCCAGTCTCATGCTTTGATCATTCCTAAGATGAAAATAACATTTTTAGATAAATTATCTGAGTTTTATGAGGCCTTTAGTATATGATGTGATAGAATATGAGAAGACCATACTTTTTTCTAGTTTTCCGTGCAATTCTATCATTGTTTCATCTTTACTCCTACCAGAGTAATTTTCCAAAATAGATATCTTGTCATTCTTCCTGTTGTTATCAGTAAATAAGTGAAACCAAAAGCTAGATTATATAATTTATCTAGAATAAGAAAGTAGAATTGAATCTATATTCATTAATGAGACTAACCAGTCAATTACACAGATAGGCATTTTACATTTTGAAGATCATATGGAATCATTGTCAGATATATTATTATTTATGTCTGTATGCACATCACCTGTGCATATTTATGTAGAAATCAATGAGAGTTGATTTTTATTTTTATTATATATATTTTTTGAGATAGGGTCTTGCTTTGTTGCCCAGGCTGGAGTGCAGTGGTGCAATCACTGCTCACTGCAGCCTCAACCTCCCAAGCTCAAGCAATCCTTCCTCCTTGACCTCCCAAATAACTAGGACAACAGGTGCACATCACCAGGCCCACCTTTTTTTTTTTAACTTTTGATAGAGACTAGATCTTGCTATGTTGCCCAGGTTGTTCTTGAACTCCTGGGCTCAAAGAATCCTCTCATTTCAGCCTCTTCAACTGCTGGTATTACAAGCATGAGCCACCATATGGGCTGGAAGCTGATTTTTAAAATACTGAGACCATATAGATGACAGCACCTGAAAAATAGACAACACCAAGCTTTATGTTAAAAGGTGTGAGGGTATCAATGTTGTTGTGGCTATTGGGGAGGAAAACATTAGTAAAACCAGTGAGTTAAAGCTGTTGCTTTAAACTTTGGCTTTAATTTAACAAATGTTCTCTGGGGTGACAGTATGTATGTAACCATGCTATGCCCATTCACAGATGCAGTAGAGGGAAGAATTTCTCAAAGACAACTGTTCTAAGATTGAAATTAAACAGTACTGGGCTTAAAAAGAGAAAGTCTAGGAATTACCAAACATTTTAGATATCAGATTAAAGAGATTGCGAGGTATGCGATGATAATCAGCAATGGTTGCTCACACAATACATCAAATCAGTATTTGAATTAGCTTTTCAATTACAAGGACAAATGGATCAAGTCTTGACTCTTTAGTAGATAAATCTTATTAGGCTGAGATGTGTTTTTGCCTGTTTTTCCACAAGGAGATTACAAATTTGCAAACCTCAGCTGCTCTCATTTTATGCTCTCAGCAAGCCAAAAGCTGAAGTTCATCAATCAATGTGTCTAAGTGTCCACTAGTTATATACCATTTTGTAGTTTCAGCTATCTTTCCAACTTCCTAAATCATCACCTTCATTTGATCTTGTTTTTTCCACTATCACTTCTTTATTGACCATATAAAGAATATAAATAAGTTCTTATTTTGTTGTTTATTTTAGTCTAATTTCATCAAAGTATCATAATTTTTTATTTCATTTTAATTTCAAAGATTAAATGAAACCTACATAGAAATGAGTGTAAGATTTGCATTTGCATTATTTTGGCATCAATTTGCTATCCTTCCTCATACACATAGAGAACATTTCCATGTACATGATTTCAAACATCCAAGTGCAGTATTAAAAGCAGTTGTAAATTATGGTTCTGATTTTCATGATACAATTACTATATAAACTTCCTCTTGCTGCTGTAACCAATTAACACAAACTTCATATCTTACAATAAAGTGATTGTTAATCCTACAGTTCTGGAGTTCAGAAGACTTAAATAAGACTCACAGGGCTAACATCAAGTTTTGGGCAGGGCTGCAGTCTTTCTGAGGGCTACGTGGCAGAATCTATGTACTTGATATTTTTCAGCATCCAGAGGCCACCTTTATTCCTTGGAACATGACCTCATTCTTATATCCTATTTTTTTTTTAAGATGGAGTCTCCTTCTGTTGCCCAGGCTGGAGTGCAGTGGCACGATCTCAGCTCACTGCAACCTCTGCCTCCCGGGTTCAAGCGACTCTGCTGCCTCAGCTTCCTGAGTAGCTTTGACTACAGGCACGTGCCACCATGCCCAGTTAATTTTTTGTATTTTTAGTAGGGATAGGTTTTCACCATGTTAGTCAGGTTGGTCTCGATCTCCTGACCTCGTCATCCACCCACTCCGGCCTCCCAAAGTGCTGGGATTAGGCGTGAGCCACCGCGCTGGGTCCTCATTCTTGTATCTTAAAAGTCAGTGATGTTGAGTAATTTTGCATGCCACCACCTCCATGGTTGCCTTTCTTCTGCCTTCTTCTTTCACTTATAAGGAAGCTTGTGATTTCATTGGTCCCACTGATTTAAGATAATCTCTCCATCATTTTATCACAACCTTAATTTCACTTGAAATCTAATTTCCTACTGCCATGCAACCTAACATATTTGTATGTTAGACTCTGGGAATTAGGACATGAACGTTTTTGGGAGGCCATTCTTTGTCTACAGCAGACTTAATCTATTTACCTGCAGATTAAAGTATTCTTTATTTTTCTGCCTCCCTCTCTTAATTTTTTTTAAATAATGTGAATTGTAGTAAAGAGAAAGAAAGAGAAGAAAGAAAGAAAAAAGAAGGAAGGAAAGAAAGAAAGAAGAAAGAAAAGGAGGAAATGAGAGAAGGAAGGAAGGGATGGAAGGAGGGAGGGAGGAAGGGAGAAAGCGAGAAAAAAGAAAGCAAGAACACAAGAAAGAAGGAAAGAAAGAAAGGAGGAAGGGAGGAAGGAAAGGAGGAAGAGAGAATGGTAAAAGGGAGGAATGCAGAGAAACAAAGAAAATAAAGAGGAGAAGGACGGACGGTAAAAGGAGGAAAGGAAGGGAGGGAGGAAGGAAGAAAAGGAGGGAGGGAGGAAGGGAGAAAAAAGAAAGCAAGAAATTGAGAAAGAATAAAAGAAAAGAAGGGAGGGAGAAAGGAAGGGAGGGAGGAGGGAAGGAAGAAAAAGAGGAAAGAAAGAAGGAAGGAAGGAGAATACAAGAAAGAAAAGAGAGAAAGGAAAAGAAAAAAGAAAAGGAAAGGAAGAGGAAAAGAAGAAAGTAAGGAAGAAGGCAAGGGAAGGGAAGAGAAGGGAAAGGAAGATGGAAAGAAGGAAGGAAGACCGCAAATATTAGAAATTCTGGGTTTGTTAGAGAATACGCCATACTGTTTTTTTTTTTTTTTCACTTGAAAGGAAAGAGTATCTGCCATTGCAGACTGGATGTCTTATTGGTGATATTGTTGTTCTTATCTTCCACATGATTACTGAGTTTGTGCCTAGTCTTTCCATTACTAAGACAAAAGTGTTGAAGTCTGCAAATATAATTTTGGATTTTTCTAGTTCACCTTTGAATTCTTTCATGTTTTTCCTCATGTATTTGGAGGTTCTGTTGTTAGCTGCATACCCTAATTAGTAGGATGTTTACATCTTCTTGAGAATTGATTATTATATTATCTATTATCTCTCTTCTCTGATACTGTTTCTTGTTCTGAACTCTGTTGTGTCTAATATCAATGTGGTCCTTCCCACAGCTTTATTTTAGTGTTTCCATGATATGGCTTTCTCCATATCTTGAAGATAACCTATTTATATCTCTATATATTTGGAGCAAGATATAAAATTTAGAGTTGATTTTTTAAAGATTTTTCAAGATTTAATTCTTATTTGTTTTTGTTCTATTTGACATTCTCTGAGTTTCCTATATCTGAAGTTTGATTTTCTGTCACTTTTTTAAGAATATTTTGGCAGTTATTTTGAAAAATATTTCTTTGGCTCCATTATTTTTTCCTCTTTTCCTTTTGGGATTTCAATTATAACTAGAGTAGGTAATTTCATCTCAGTCTTATGCAGGTACTTTTTCTCAGGGTCTCAGGAATGTAGCCTTCTCACACTTCTGTTCTTTTCCTGGCTGTGTTGGTGAGCTCAGTGATATTCCTCCTTCACCTTCAAGAACAGTTTTGTTTTGTTTTTCCTGTTTTCATACTCCCAGCATCAGGAGTATTCTAAGTGTGGCAGTTTTTGTTGCCTTCCCCTGCATATTAAGTGGAATATCTTGGTCTATTTGGACTCTTATAACAAAATAACATATACTGGGTGACTAAAAAACAACAGATATTTCTCTTTTCACACTTCTTGAGGCTGTAAGATCTCAGGTCAAGATGCTCACAAATTCAGTGTTGATGAGAGCCCATTTCATGGTTCATACATGGTGCCTTCTTTCTATGTCCTCACATAGTGGAAGGCACAGAAGAATTCCACTGAGCTTCTTTTATAAAGGCACTAATCCCATTCATAAGGGCTCGGCCCCCAAGACCTGGTCACCTCCCAAGTGTTCTGCTCTCCCTGATCTGTATCATAAACAGATTCTCTTGGATTCCTTACCAATTGCTTGAGAGATCGCAGTGGGTTTGTGGGGGAAAAGTTTTCAAGATGATGGATCTTTCCCAACTTCTGCAGCTGTCAGCGGTCTCCCAATCTCACCAGCCCCACTTTGTCTTTAGGAATTTATTGATTATTCCAGCTTTACTTGTCATAGTGGTGTCAATTTGCATCCATCCTATGTAAGTGCATCTGTCCTATTTCTCCTTGCAGGTGCTTGTTTTCCCTCACATTTTGACTCAGTTCTTGTTAACCTGGTTGCTATAAAAATAAACTCATGACTTTGAAGTTAGTTGAGTTCTTTCATTGTTGTAAGGTTAGGAGCCCTATTCCATCCCAGCTCTCCAAAACCCAGAATTTTTTGGGGGTTGAAATTTTAGTCTTTCTCTTTGAATTGTAGTTTTATCCTATTTCAGTTACAATTTTCATTTTCATAATGATTAATGACGCTAAGCTTTTTTTGTGTAGTTGACTCTACCTTTGGATTTTTTTTCCAAATCCCTTTTCATTTCTTTTCTTTATGGTTTTAGAAAATGTAGTTTACATAATTGCAGCTTGATTTTTTACTCAGTTAATGGCATGCTTAATGGAGAGAAAAAATACTAACTATATTTCCCCTTTTAATTACTGTGCTTTTTTCTTTTTTAAGGAAATATTTCATTATGTTAAATTTTAGTGTTATTCTATTTAGCTATTCTTTAAATATTATAGTATTTTGGATTTCACATATAAGTTTGTTACACATCTTGAGTTTATTATGTATAGAGTAAGGCTGTTTTCTCTTTTTTTAAGGTAAAAATCACGTAATATAAAATTAATAACTTAAGCATTTTAAAGCATACAACGCAGTTGCTTTTAGTATATTCACAATGTTCCAGGACAATTTCATCATGTCCCTTCTAAAAACCCATTAAGCATAAAGTTGTTACACCCTATTCTGCTTCCCTGAGCCCTAATGACCACTAATCTGATTTATATCCCAATTGATTTGCCAATTCCTGATGTTTGATGTGAATAAAATCAAGTAATATTTGTCCTTTTGTGCACTTAACATAATGCTTTCAAATTTCACCCATATTATACCATGTATAAGTACTTCATTCTTTGTTACAGCTGAAAATTGGGTGTCCATTTATGAGTCAACAAGCATATGGATTGTTTCCACTTTTTGACTGTATGAATATTACTGCTGTAAATATTCATGCACATGTTTATTTTTTGAGCACCTAGGTTTTGTAAGATTAACAGCTGACTTAACAGAAACAATGGAAGGCAAGAGGCAGTAGAATAATATATTCAAAAGATGCAAAGGAAAAAAAAAACTGTCAGCCACAAATTCCTTATCCAGCAATTAGTTTTCAAAAATGAAGATAACACAAAGACTTACCCAGAGAAACAGAAATATTAACTGAAGTTATTGCTGGCCGACCTACCAAACAAACAAAAAAAGAAAAAACACCAAAATAAATTCCTAAGGCTAAAAGCAAGTTGCACAAGACAGTCATTTGAATCCACTTTTTTTAAAAAGCACTGGTATACGTAAAATTAACATTATAAAAGGCAGTAGAAATGCATGTTTTCTGTTTATCATAAATTGTTTATAAAATAATATGTGTATAATGGCCGGGCACGATGGCTCATGCCTGTAATCTCAGCATTTCGGGAGGCTGAGGCAGGCGTATTACGAGGCCAGGAGATCGAGAGCATCCTGGCTAACATAATGAAACCCCGTCTCTACTAAAAATACAAAAAATTAGCCGGGCGTGATGGCGGGTGCCTGTAGGCCCAGCTACTCGGGAGGCTGAGGCAGGAGAATGGCATGAAGCCAGGAGATGGAGCTTGCAGTGAGCGGAGACTGTGCCACTGCACTCCAGCCTGGGCAACAGAGGGAGACTCCGTCTCAATAATAATAATATATGCATAATGTATTGCTGAGTATTTGACACGTAGAAATGTAATATGTCTATAACATATTTTTCAGTAACTTCAAAAAGGAGGTAGTTGGAAGAAAAATGTATCGTGATAAGGTAATCACTCTAGTTGGTAAAGTAATAATTACTAAAATGTATTGTTGGCTTTGTAACTTTAATAGATGTAATGTGTAAAGTGATAATACTTTAAAATGGAGGAAATAAAAGAGATTTGTATAAGAATGATGTTTCTATGTGTTACTAAAATTTTACTAGTATAAGTTGGAAGATGATTTGAATAATTAATTTTCCATATACCTATATGGTAAACTTACAACAACAACAAAAATTCTCTAAAATATATAGTAAAATAATTCATTAGTAATCTAAAGTTCCCTATTTTAGAAAATATTCATTCATTGCAAAATAAAGCAATAAAGATAAATATTTGAGAAATATACAAAACAAACGGTAAAATGGCAGACATAAACAGAATTATACCAATTATAATATTAAATGTGAACAGATTAAAATTCAATCAAGAGGCACAGATTGTCAGACTGGATTAAAACAAGTGATCCCAATATACGCTGAGATGCAAGGATACTAATGGGTTGAAAGTAAAAAGATGACAAAAAATATCATGCAAAGGGCAATCATAAGAACACTGAACTCCTTATACTCATAACACACAATATAGACTATTAAAAATGTGAATAGGATTTTAAAAATTTATACTGTAGTAAGAAGGGGGTCAACGCTTTAGGAAGACATAGCTATTACAATCACGTATGCACAGATATGAGCTAAATTGTTTCCTCTATATAGATGCTGAAATCCTAACCACTGAATATGACCTCATGAGGAAATAGGTTCTTTGCAGGTGATCAAGTTAAGATAAAATCAGATGAGCCTGAATTCAATATGACTGATGTTCTTATAAAAAGAAGAAATTTGAGTAGAGGGAGACATACACACAGGGAGAGTACCATGTGATTATGAGGGCAGAGATTAGCCAAGGAATGCCAAAGACTTCCACTAAACCACCAGAAGCTAGACACAAGGCATAGAACAGACTTTCTCTCATAGCCCTTGAAGGGACCATCCCTGCTGACACCTCAAGCTCAGAATTTTAGCTTCCAGGACTATAAGACTATAAATGTATGTTGTTCAAGGCACCCAGTTTGTGTTACTTGGTTATGGCAGCCCTAGAAAACTAATACATGAACTAATAACAAAGCATAATAACATGAAGCAAAAATTGACAAAAGAGGAGCATCAGCAAAATGGCAGTGGAGACAGCTGCAATCTTTCATTTCCCCACAGAAACATCACGCAACTAAGAGAAACTGTCTGAATAAACTTTACCAAAACTCTGGAAAATGGTCAAAAGATTACAACAACCGAGTGAAAGCAGACTCAAGAAAAAGACAACTGGAAAACTTTATGACATTTTTAACTTGCGTTTGCCCCAGCAAATTGGCAGTTTTGAAGTGTCAGAAGCCCACGTTCCCAGTGAGGAACCCTGGTCCTTGGTCCAAAGGAACAAGAGAAGATCTTACCCGCAAATTATTATGTGTCTGTTCTGACTGGTCTGGGGGATACCTAAAGGACTAATGAAAGGCTTTTTTTTTTTTTCTGTGTTGCTAGAATACAGAACAGATAAGGAATGAACATTATTAAGAAACTCTGCAAGGAGACCTAACAAACCACAGACGCTTAGGGCAAAAATTAGAGTTTACACATATAGTAGATCACCTTCAGCACAGGAAGAAAAGTTGGAGAAGAGTATTTGGAAAACTAAGACATTCAAAATCATTCACGTACATGGGAGAGTCTAGAAAGTCACATCTATGCATAGGTTAAGCCACATGCTGGCAAATGTCATAAGAAGACCCTACACTTTTACCTTGGCCGATCCCTCCCCTCAGTGCAAGCTCTGTGCAAGAGTGAACTTGAACTTCACTCAGTGCAAGAGTGAACACACACTTTGTGGCGGCTTTAAAGAACCCAGCACAAAGCCAGTCTACATGGCCTAGAGACATATTTTGCTAGATAATGATTACTTGTTTTTCTTTGTTTTTGTTGTATTTGCCTGTTTGCTTAATTCCTGACATACAAGAAAATCACTGTCAAAACATTAGCTTAACATTCGTTAAGGAAATGAAAAGACTTCGGTGACCACACTTTATAAAGAAAACAGTTTTGTACATCACTTTGGAAAATTTCACTAAAAATAAAAACCTTGAGAATAAGTAAATAAAATTTAAAACCACAAAACATTAGTGTGTTTGTGGGTGGGGGTCTGATTTACAGAGTAACCATATAGTAATTATAATTATTATAACGTCCAGTTTTCAAAAAAAGTTACAAGGCATACAAAGAATGGGAAAGTATGGCTCATTCAAAGGAACAAAACAAACTGACAGAAAATATCTCTAAGGAAACCCAGACTTCAAACTTACTAGACAAAGACTTTAAAACAACTCTCTTCATTATACTCAAATGTCAAAAGGAAAACATAAACAAAGAAATCAAGGAATCACAAAAAATATTAAAAAGTAGGAATATCAACAAAGAGATAACAGAAATTCTGGAGTGGAAAACTACAATGTTAATAATTCAAAAATCACCAGAGGGATTTCAGAGTATATTTGCACACACAGAAGAAGTCATGAACTTGAAGATAAGAAAATGGAAAATACTGACTCTGAGAAACAGAAAGAATAACAAATAAAAAATGAGCAGAGACTAAGGAATCTGTGGGACATCATCAAATAGACCATCATTCATATTCTAGAAGGATAAATTATGTTGTTGAAAACTTTACCATTCTTTCTTTTCACCTTTCTTTCTTCCTCCCTCCCCCTCCTCCACCTTTTTACTTTTCTTCCTCTTCCTTTCTCTTCTTTCTCTCCTTCATTATCCCTTTCGCTCTGTTTCTCCTTCTCCCTCTTTTTTCTTTTCTTTCAATTTTCTCAATTACTAAGAGATGTTTAAATACCCTTACCATGTTAGTAGATATGGTTATTTCTCCCTTTAGTTCTCTTTTGAGATTTATAGTCACTCTAAGTAAAGAGATAACCCAAACATAAGCCTCACAAACAGGCTTGCATACCATTCTTAATTTGGTCCTGTAATTCTTCATTGCTGTATTAACTTTCTGATGCTTTTAAGGATGTTTTATAACAAATTGTTTAGTTTTCTCCAACGGAATGTTTATTCTGAGTTATCTAATTCATATTGTAAGTATATAGGGAGTTTAATATAAAATTATTAAACTAATATTTGTGAAAGAATGTATTTGTGCATTTAACAAATATGTTAATCCTCAAACAGTTATTGGGCAGCTGAACATACAGCAATAAAAATAACATAATTTTTATGTGTACAATATTTATGGAATAAACTACTGGAACCAATAAATACTTTAGTTAATAACATGACCAAGAACAGAAATTGTATACACTATACAGCATAGTAATGGAATAATGAGTGATTAAAGTTATTAATACTAGGTAGAAAATGAAGGTATCTTTGAGAGCAGAACTCAAGGAAGCAAGCAATTCGCCTTATGAGGAAAGAGTCACCTGTGGATAAAGGAGAAACTGAAAAATTTACAAGTCAAGACTTTTTGAGCAAAAACAAAAATATGACTATTAGTCACCAATTCAGTACAGTGAAAAGAAAGTTGAAGAGATATCTTGGAAGTAAACCATGTTGTGGAAGAGCATGTAGGGTTTTGATAATCTTGGGATGATTCTGAATTAATTTTAAATGCGATAGGAATATATGAGATAATTTCACCAGAGAATAACATGATTGTGTTTGCATTTCAAAGGGGTGTATCTCGTGCACTGTGAAGAATAAATAGGTTATGTGAGCAAATAAATTTGGAGGCTATTGTAATCCACAGAAAATAGGTAGTGACTTAGGTGAGAATGCTGTGAGTATGAGTGGTATTAGTGGTGAGAAGTCGTCAGGCCATGGATGTATATCAGAGGACTGGCCAAGAGAACTGCAGCTAAATTGGAGTGTAGGGAGTGAAATGGAGAACTCAAAGATGACTCTCAGCACTGGAAGGTGACAGCTGTCACTGAAGCAGGCTGATCCCTCTTATTAAGAGAGTTACTTGGGAATGGTAAGATCAAACCTTCTCACTTTCAAATTTATGAAAAATATTGTTTTCCGAACGAATGACTTTGGGATCAGAAAGCCATCATTCTCATTGATGGTTCCACGACTACATGGGCTCACACTCCCAAGAGCAAAAGTAAATCATCACAAAGGTGCTTCCTGATAATTCTAGAGAATGGAGAATTACTGTAACATCTTTCTGATTTTAGGAGAGGTAGCAGTTCCCTTTTTAGCCTAAACGCTATTTTTCTTTAAAGCTCAGCCAAGAGACTCCATTATAATTTTCAAATGTGTGTAACTCAAATTCTCATATGAAATACCACTATGCTTAGTCAAAACGTTTTCCCCATGTACAACTCTATCTTGTCATTGCAATCATTTTCACAAAAGTAACTGCAGCTCACAGACCCTAAAAGTGGAAAATCCAGGGTAAGTTATCTGATCTAGTTAGTTTTGAAGACAGGATCTAGAGATTATTTAATATGAAATAGGTCACCTGAAATGAAGTGTTTACTGAAAACAGCTTGGATCAACCCAGTTTTCTACCACTGAACCATGGATTTGGTTTCAAAAACACAACAACTCTGGAGAATATCGGCTGCTTCCAACTGTGTTGAAGGTGTTAAAGAAAAGAGCATAAAATTATAAATGATCATCTGAGGCCTTTATAGTCTCTGCTCAAGAGACTAGCGTCTTCCTTTCTTAAGGAAACATACAAATATCTTAATAATTGGGCAAAATCTAACTATCAGAGAGATAATTTTATCTTGAAGATTGTTAAATTATAATGGTGATTCACTACCTTGCCACGTCTCTGACTCAAAAATTAGATCTTTGTTTAGGAATCAATGGTACTCTGCAACTTGGAAATAGGAAGATTTTAGAAGACTCAAACATTGACTTTCTTGTGTGCAAAAAAAAGACGTATTGAGATAAGACAAGTCTTTCCTTGCAAGGATACCTCTAATGCTCACACACCACCTCCCCTAACGTTAATATAGCTTCCAGGCCACTAACCGGTGTCAGAGAGCAGCCTATGCAACTACAGATTCAAAAGATGTCAAACACAGGGTCAATAAACTCTAAACTACTCAGGTCACAATTTAGAACCCCTTTGTTGATCCCTATAGAGTGTTCCCAGATATCAAATGACAAATAGGTCTTTGATGAAGAAACACCCTGTAAAGCCATATTGCTCTGGTTTTTGTGTGTGAGTGTGTGTGTGTGTGTATGTGTGTGTATTTTCTTCTCTTTTGAAAACTGTAAATAGAGGAATTTTCATTACAAATGAAAATGTTTCTGTTCCATATTTATTTCCTGTCTAATGTACTTTGCTCTTCCTGGATCTAGTAAGGATCTCAGCTTTTCTTTTTTATACCTGCAAAAAATTACATCAAGCTTCATTTTTCATGTCAATTACTGACATATTTTCAAGCCTTCACAAGTTATTTCTGAAGATTTGGTGCATCAAGGAGAGACTGTCATTGTAGTTAAAGAAGTTTTTAAATAGGTTATATTCAATAAAATTTCAGAGCTTGTTTCTCTGGAAAGCATAGACATAGTGGTGTTATGGGTAGTTAAACATAAAATAGCTCCACAAAGTGTTGTGTACATAAAAGTGTTCATATTCTGGAAAATTCTACTTTATTGCTCAGTACTGTCTGCTGGAGAGGAAAATAGGTAAGATAGGCTGCTGAGCCTATGATAATAACTCATAATATGAGGTGAAAGCATAGAGACAAAATGAGAGATGATAGATACTCAAACGGATGTGAGTGAAGAACAGCTGTGAACGTGTCTATGGGAGATAGGAGGCCATGGGGCTGCTTTTGTGAAGAAGGAATTTGTACACGTTAGTCAAGTGTCTTGACACATTTAACATTTTAATAAAGCAAAACCTTATCTTCAGATGTGTCAGAATAGGATTGTACAGATGTCACATTACAGTGGTGGTGAAAATAATGAAGAAACGAATGTAGAGGTCAAAGAATCAAGTCCACCAATATGGATATTAGATTTATGAACGAAAAAGAGTGTATGTCAAATTGGGCAGGTGTAAACAAAGAAAGCAGCTAGCTAGGTAATTTGGAGGTTTCTGATGAGGAGATTTGTGGGAAGTCACTTAATGGAAAGCAGAGGTTAGAAGGATGAAGGTGACCCACAGGATCTCATTTCTTCTCCCTAGAAGTTTTGCATATCAATGATACATGCTTCGTTCACATCAGTTTTTCTTTTTTGGAAATCTGTGTTTGCTGAGGTAGTTATTTTGTGAAAGAACCTGAGAGATCCCTATGGTATATCATGTGAAACTAGATTTAGATAAAAGGAATCAAAGAATGCATTTTTAGAGTACTAAACAGATAACTGCCAATAATGGTGACAATCATGACATATGTATATATATGTATTATGTCGTATTGGTTGGTTATTTATAAGAAAAGAAGTCTCTAGTGATTTAGAAACTTTGTTTAGTTTATTTTCATAGGAATCTGATTACACATTATTTCACTGATGTGTATGTTTTTGCAAAAGTGGACGAAGAGACGGTGAGAAGGCCGAACTGCTGAATCCAGGAAATGTAAAAACATCAGGAGTCTTCATGAGCATAAACAAAATGATTTTTTAAATTATAACTCTTAGATTAAGTGAACTCACTTCAGATGCATTCAGAATATTTGCATAAAGGATGATTTGATTTTTGGCTGTTCCAGGAACTACTGGAAGCAGGAAACAGTGATAGAGTTGGGATAAACCACAGTGACTCATTATTCCTCTTTGTTACTATTGGGCACCAGAGGTATATGTTTTGTTGATATTGGTTATTCAAATGAGATAAACGTGAATATGCATACATTGGCTTTGTTTTTCAAGGAGCTATTGGATAAAATAGCAACTTAATAAAAATTATCTAGAGAATAACATGATAATTTAACCAGACTATTTTAGAAGTGAAAATAATGTTGAATTCATTACTTGACTCCCAAATGGTTATTTTCAAGGAATATTGGCGTGATTTCCAGATGTAAAAGCTTATTCATATCTAATGCTTGTAGCAATTTTATTTTGTATAAGTATGTCAAATTTGGTAATTTATTATACTTTTTGATGAAGTTTATACATTATACCTTGTTGCCATGAGTGGATGAAGATTTCGGAAGGCTAAACTAGAAGATGCAAGAGATGTAGGCACATTATTACACCATATGGGTGTGAGAAATAATGAACATTACATACTATAATTCACCAAACATATATCCAAGCTGATTAAGTTAGGACACTTCCACTGAAGAGCTGTGAAGTGTACATTCAACTAAAGTGTCATTATAATTGTGTACCTTCTCACTGATTGATCAAGTTAAAAAGCATGACGAATATTTGCAGTAAAATGTTCCAAATCATTCTGATATCTTGCATGAAAGACACGCGGGTGCATGTATCACCTGCTTTGACGTTGATTCCCAGGTGTATGAGTTGGACTCTGATTTTAGATCACATTTGTCCTCAACACTCAGCATATCCACATTGATATTGACATGGTTTTATTTTAGTTTTAGACATATGGAGAAAGTTATATCACATTTGAAATTGTCAGTATATATTTCTTGAAGCCTGTATTCCTATTTTCTTCAGTGTATTTCCTTCATGTTTAGTCCCAAGAAACAAAGTATAAAATATCAAAGCCTACAGTAATACAGGCAGGAGTATAAAACTTGATGCTAACATGCTATCTATGCATTAATGTATGGATAACATTATCATATTTACATATGATTGATTATGTAACCCTTTTGCTTTTCAGTGTCTTCTCAGAAACAACCAGCTGAGAAGGTAATTAAAGTCTCATTTATCTGTTGAACTATTAACTGTATAGTCTATGAAACCTACTTTACGTATTATTTTGTTTTCAAATCCCATTCAGGCTACAAGTAATGAGAAATATTCTGTTTCAAATACAGCCACAGAAATAAAGGGGGGACCAATATCTGGGACAGGTAATTTTGCAAAACACATCTAATGTCACGTTCAATCAAGATAGAAGAGAACATCCCTTCTCCAAATAAATCAGTGGAGAGTTCATCTAAGCTGCACGTTCTGATTCAGTATGCCTGAGATTGTTCATTTGTAGTGAGTTCTCAGGTGACCCTGATGCTGCTGGTCCTTGGCCATGATCTGAGTAGTAAGATTATAGACTTCCCTACATTGAAATTGGGAAGAAGAACCATTGGAGAGCAGTTCAACACATACCAGGCTAAGGGAGCAGCATAATTTTGCTTTAATTCTACAGCATGTTTCGTCAAGAGGGGAAAGAGAACGAGATGAAGTAATAGATATTATAGGCATCATATCATATTGTTATAAACAGAGGGACAAGTGATCTGAATAACTCCACAAACACTGTAGAATGAGAACTAAGAAGACCACTGATGGAGCAATTATTTTCCTCAAGGAAGAGGGATTGTGAGGCAGGACGGAGGAAAAAGAAGAAAGTATTTATGTAATTTTGGGGTTTCTGCTGAGGAAACCTGAGTGAACTCATTTCAGATGCATTTGGAATATTTGCATTAAAGAAGATTTGATTTTGGCTGCTCCAAGAAATACTGGAAGCAGGAAACAATGCTAGAATTGGGATAAACCACAGTGACTCATTACACCTCTTTGTTACTATTAGGCATCAGAGATACATGTTTTGTTGACTTTAATTATAAAAATGAGATAAACTTGCATATGAATACATTGGCTTCCTTGTTCAAGGAGCAACCTCTTGGATAAAATAGCTATTTCACGAAACTTCTTTAGAGAATAACATGATAATCCCAACAAGGCTATTTTAGAAACAAAAATGATGTTGAATTCTAATTAACTCCTAAAGTGGTCATTTTCAATGAATACTGGGATGATTTCTGAATGTAAAACTTATCAATATCTAATGCTTGTAGCAGTTTTACTTTGTAGAAGTATGTTAACGTCGGTAATTGATGATATTTTTATTGAGGCTAATATATTATCCTTTGGTGCCATGAGTGGATGAAGAAACTTTCAGAAGGCTAAACTAGTGGATACAAGAAACTTAGGCAAATTATTACACCACATGGTGTGAGAAATAATGAATATTATCTACTAGATTTCAGGAAACATATGTCCAAGGTGATCAACTTAGTACACTTCCACTGAAGAGACATGAAATGTACATTTAACTGAATTGTCATTGTAATTGTGTATGTTCTACTTATTGGGCAAGTTAAAGGGCACGATGAACGTTTGTAGTATAATGGTGTAAATCCTTCTAATTTCTTGAAAGAAAGACATACTGGGTCATGTACCACCTGCTTTGACATTGATTCTCAGGTGTGTGAGTTACACCTCTGATTTGTCCTCATCACTCAGCATATCCACATTGATATTGACACGGTTTTATTTTAGTTTTAGACATATCACGAATCATACCATGTTTGAAATTGTAAGGGTATATTTTGTGAAGCCTGTATTCCTTTTTTTTCAGTGTATTTCTGTCGTGTTCCAGTCTCCAGACAAAAAGTAGGAAACATCAAAGCCTACACTAGTGCAGGCAGGAAGATACAGCTTGATAATAACACTGCATGATGTATGGATAAATTTATCATACGTACATATGAGTGATTATGTATCCCTTTTGCTTTTCAGTGTCTTCTCAGAAACAACCGGCTGAGAAGGTAAACTCTCCTTTATATTTTTTATTAGTAACTGTATGGTCTTTGAAACATTCTTTATTTATTGATAATTCACTCCAAATTACTTTCAGGCTACAAGTGACAAGACAGATTCTGTTTTGAATATAGCTACAGAAATAAAGGATGCTTTAAAGTTCATATGGAACCAAAAAAGAGCCCGCATCACCAAGTCAATCCTAAGCCAAAAGAACAAAGCAACAGGCATCACACTACCTGACTTCAAACTATACTACAAGGCTACAGTAACCAAAACAGCATGGTACTGGTACCAAAACAGAGATATAGATCAATGGAACAGAACAGAGCCCTCAGAAATAACACTGCATATCTACAACTATCTGATCTTTGACAAACCTGAGAAAAACAAGCAATGGGGAAAGGATTCCCTATTTAATAAATGGTGCTGGGAAAACTGGCTAGCCATATGGAGAAAGCTGAAACTGGATCCTTTCCTTACACCTTATTCAAAAATAAATTCAAGATGGATTAAAGACTTAAACATTAGACCTAAAACCATAAAAACCCTAGAAGAAAACCTAGGCAATACCATTCAGGACATAGGCATGGCCAAGGACTTCATGTCTAAAACACCAAAAGCCATGGCAACAAAAGACAAAATTGACAAATGGGATCTAATTAAACTAAAGAGCTTCTGCACAGCAAGAGAAACTACCATCAGAGTGAACAGGCAACCTACAAAATGGGAGAAAATTTTCGCAACCTACTTATTGACAAAGAGCTAATATCCAGAATCTACAATGAACTGAAACAAATTTACAAGAAAAAAACAAACAACCCCATCAAAAAGTGGGCGAAGGACATGAACAGACACTTCTCAAAAGAAGACATTTATGCAGCCAAAACACACATGAAAAAATGTTCATCATCACTGGCCATCAGAGAAATGCAAATCAAAACCACAATGAGATATCATCTCACACCAGTTAGAATGGCAATCATTAAAAAGTCAGGAAACAACAGGTGCTGGAGAAGATGTGGAGAAATAGGAACATTTTTACACTGTTGGTGGGACTGTAAACTAGTTCAACCATTGTGGAAGTCAGTGTGGCGATTCCTCAGGGATCTAGAACTAGAAATACCATTTGACCCAGCCATCCCATTACTGGGTATATACCCAAAGGACTATAAATCATGCTGCTATAAAGACACATGCACACTTATGTTTATTGCGGCACTATTCACAATAGCAAAGACTTGGAACCAACCCAAATGTCCAACAATGATAGACTGGATTAAGAAAATGTAGCACATATACACCATGGAATACTATGCAGCCTTAAAAAATGATGAGTTCATGTCCTTTGTAGGGACATGGATGAAATTGGAAGTCATCATTCTCAGTAAACTATCGCAAGAACAAAAAACCAAACACCGCATATTCTCACTCATAGGTGGGAATTGAACAATGAGATCACATGGACACAGGAAGGGGAACATCACACTCTGGGGACTGTGGTGGGGTGGGAGGAGGGGGGAGGGACAGCTTTGGGAGATATACCTATTGCTAGATGATGAGTTAGTGGGTGCAGCGCACCAGCATGGCACATGTATACATATGTAACTAACCTGCACAATGTGCACATGTACCCTAAAACTTTAATAATAAAAGAAAGAAAAAGAAAAAAAATTAAATATGGTACTGAAGCAAATAAACCACTAATAGCTGAGAAAAACAAGTAAATAAAAATAAATTGTTGATGTAAAAAAAAAAGGATGCACTACAATGTGGGACAGGTAATTTTGCAAAACACATTTAATGTCATTTTCAATCATTTAGAAAATAACTTCTCTTCCCCGAATAAATCAGCGGGGCGGAGCTCGTCGAAGCTGCACTTTCTGATTCAGCAGACCTGAGATTCTTCATTTGTAATAAATTCTCGGGTGATGCTGATGCTGCTGATCTGGAACATGATCTTCGCAGTAATATTATACACTTCCCCACATTGAAATTGGGAAGAAGAAACATTGGAGAGCAGATCAAGACATAAGGGGATCAGGGGACAGCATAATTTTGCTTTAATTCTACAGCATGTTTTCACCAAGGGTGGAAGGAGAATGAGTTGAAGTATAGATTTTACAGACGTCACATCGTATTGCTAAAAACAGACGGAAAAGTTATTGTAATAACCAGTAAAATTGTGGAAGGAGAACCAATGAGACCACTGATGTAGCAATTATTTTCCTCAAGCAAGAGGGATTGTGAGGCAGGAAGGAGGGAAAAGAAGAAGTTATTTATGTAATTTTGGGGTTTCTGCTGAGGAAACGTGAGTCAACTCACTTCAGATGCATTTAGCATGTTTACACAAAAAGGATTTGATTTTGGCAGCTCCAGGAACTACTGGATGAAGCAAAGAAAGCTAGAATTGGGATAAACCACATTGACTAATTACTTCTCTTCGTTACTATTAGGCATAAGACATATCTTTTGTTGATTTTTGTTATAAAAATTAGATAAACTTGAATATCAATACATTGGCTTCATTCATCCAAGTGCTATCTCATGGCTAAAATAGCTATTTAATGAATATGATTTAGAGGATAGCATGATCCTCCTAACGAGACAAAAACAACTATAATGTTGAGTTCATCAACTGACTCTTAAAATGGTTCACAGGCGTGAACCACCGTGCCTGGCCTAAAAATATAAGGTTTTATTCAGATGTTTCTACTTTTACATTTTGATACTCTGAAGTTTCCAATTTGGAATTTCAATAGTTTTTAGCGATTTAAAGAGATCAATTTTGACACTGTAAAATATTTGTTTTGCTTTAAAAGTCAATTCAAATTATGGCCACTTTGGTCTCATATATTGTGAGGCTGGTTTGTTATTAGGGGCATAAATACTTAGGATTGTTATGTTTTGTTGATTAACTGAACCTTTTACTATTGTGACATGACATTTGTTATTTATTGCTGGAATTTTTTTTTTTTTGCTATGAAATCTACTTTGTTATTAATGCAGCCACTCCTGCTCAGCTGCCTTTGGCAACTGTTAGCATGTATCTTTTTCCATCCTTACAACCAATTTGTGTCTTTACATTTAAAGTGCATTTCTTATAGGCAGCCTGCAGTTGGGTCTTGCTTTCTTGCTGAGCCTGACAGTCTGTATTATAGTTGAGGTTCTTAGACAAGTGTCATTTATAATGTGACTATTGATACAGTTATGTTTGTCTAGTAGCTGTTTGATTGCTACTAGTCCCAACTGTTCTTTGTTCCCCTTCTTTTCCTGCTTTCTTTTAGATTAGTCAACTGTTTTTTACGATTCAATTTTATATATATTTTTGGGTTTATTAGCGATAACTGTTTTGCTATCTTAGTGTTTAGGATTTTTAGTATATAATTTTAACTTATCACAGTTCACCTTCAGTAATATTATGCATCATAGATGGTATAAAAATTACAATGATACATTTTCATTTTTTTCTGTCCCAGACACTTCCTTCCTGAATCTGTGAGATTATGGTTTGTATTAAGGGTTAGAATATTTTGGGCCATTTTTTCTTTATTTTTTTTTTCTGTCTCTTCTTTTTTATTTGGGGAGTTATCTGTGAGCTGCTTGAAAGTTTCTTGCAGTTTATTGTGTCAAATTTAGGAATTTTTCCTTTGTTATCTCTAATTTGTGTTTATTTCCATCCACTATAGTTTTTACTTCTGACAATGTAATTTGCATCTCTGCAAGTATGGTTCCTTTTTTTTTTTTTTAAAAAAAAAAACCTTCCCTGCTTACACTTATTGTCTTGAGTTTTATTTGGAGTACAGAGATTTACTTAAAATCTTTCCATGCTTGCTTTTAGATTTGGGGTAATTCCTCACTCCTGAGGCAAGACCTTTCTGAATATTCATTGTCCTGTGAAGTATGTGGTATTTTGGCCTGGCTCATGGGAATGGACCCTCTTCCAGTCATTGTGTGAACCCCAGACATAGTTTCTGCTAATTTTCTTTAACTTTTTTTAAATTTTATTTTCCATTGTTCTTAGGCAGTTTCCTAGCACACAAGCACTTTTCATTACTCCACTAAATACCCAAGAGGGAATCTCTGCACACCTCCAGGATTTGTTTCCTGTACTGCTTTTTTCTCTCCAGTTTTCTGTCCTGTGATCTCTATCTGCTTTGGTTTTCCTAGCCTCTCAGCTTCATCACCCCAGCTCTATGTCAGATTTTCTCCCTTTTTCATGGCCTCGAACCTCTGTTAAAACTCTGTCAAAAGAGCTGGGACATTTGTAATGCCTGCTATATTTGTTTTCTGTCTTTCAGTGATCACCTACCATCTTCATTGCCTGAAGTCCACTGTGTTGAAAATCATTGTTTAATGTATTTTGTCTGTTTTGTTTTTTATTCATTCAGATAAGATGAAAAATCAGTATCTGTTACTCCATCAGAGCTAGTAACAGATTGCAGCAGAGCTTCAGCACAGCACATGCTGCAAACTGGCCAGAGTGCTTTTCTTTCCTCTTTGCTTAACTGCTTCTTTCTCATCCTTCATTTCTCAGTGTAGCATCTCTTCCTCACGGAAATCTTCCCTGGGTGAAGTATAGATCAAATTATCTTATGCAATCATATAACTATGGTTTGTGTCTTTTTTACAGGACCCATCTGAGTTTATAACTGTCATCTTTTTATCTTGGTTCTTCGCTATACTTTAAGCTAAAATAATAGCAGAAGTGTTGTCTTATCTTCAGAGCTTATTATAATATCTTCCACCTTGTAGGCACTCAATATGTACATACTTGTTCAGTGTCTGAATGAATACATGTTAAAAATGCACAGTCCTTTATATCCAGAAATCTACTCATGTATTTTATCTCTACTTTGCTTTTTCCCGGTTACAGATTGTGTTCACCTATTGAAAATTAAAAATACATTTTGTTTGTGTAAAAGATGAATAGAACTTAAAGAAAATCTCTGTGAGCAACTTGGAGTAAAAATTCAAAAAAATGAAAAATAAGGCTAGTGTACTACAAAAGAGACTATCTGAAAAAGAAGAAATAAAATCGCAGTTAGAGCATGAAGCACTTGAATTGGAAAAAACTCTGTAGTTTGAGGTATGACCTAGTTTTAAATAAATGTTTGAACTATTTGTTTTATATTAAAGACATATAAGGAGAGGTTTTGTAATTATGAACTTTCCTTCTAGGATTTAACAAGGAAGAAAGCTTCTTAATCTTATAGAGTGTGAAATTATTGGATATAATATCACTAGTTCTTAATTGTGAATACTTCTCTAATAATTAAATGCATATTCTTTTAAATCATAGTTTTAATGGCTGTATAGAATATTATGCTTTGGAAATCTCATTATTTAATTGATGAATTGAATTTTAGGTTTTAAAAAGTTTTTGTAATAATGCTACAAGGAACATCTTTTATATACACATAGTTTTCTACATTTCTAATTATTTACCTTGGATAAATTCTTCTGGTTAAAGTATAGACACTTTTTTAGATCTGTTTTAGATCTTTGATCAATATTTCTAAATTGTTCTTAAGAATGTTTATATTAATTTATAATTCGACCAACAGAGTATAAAACAGATATTTTTCTTTACACAGAATAATTATTTTAAAAACTATCAGCCAGGTGCAGTGGCTTATGCCTGTAGTCCCAGCACTTTTGTAGGCCGAGGTGGGCAGATCACGAGGTCAGGAGTTTGAGACCAGTCTGCCCAACGTAGTGAAATGCTATCTCTACTAAAAATACAAAAAATTAGCCAGGTGTTGTAGTTGAACCTGTAATCCCAGCTACTCAGGAGGCTGAGGCAGGAGAATCACATAAACCTGGGAGGCAGAGGTTGCAGTGAGCCAAAATTGCACCATTGCACTGCAGCCCAGTGATAGTATGAGACTCCCTCGCAAAAAAAAAAAAAAAAGGAATCCAGTTTTATTCTTAATATGCAGGGAATAAAAAGTAAAATAGAAAGTGATTACTGATTAGCTTATTCAACATCTCTGTCTCTGCTATGTAGATAAAATTAATTCAGTTTTATGCTGAAGACATGTATTATTCTTTATTATTTAATTAAATATTAGATCTTGTGTTGTTCCAAAACATATTTTAAAATTGGTTATAAAATACATACTAATCAACAGGATAGACTGGAAGTGTTACCCAAAAAACAATCTTAAAAAGTGTAGGGTAACATATTACATTCTTAACCTAGTCTTGGATTACAATAATCTGTAGATATGTTTCATAAAGACATCAAAAATACTATCTTACAATATAAATTATGTTTAGGGATACTTGCAATGAATGTTTCATGAAGATGAAAATGTATTTCTAGTGAATGTATCAACTTGTTTATAAAAAGTAACTTTATGTTAATTAACTAAATGATTCATCCTAACTGAGGAGTAATTACTGTGTGAAGAAAAGATAATTTTTATCCTGTAACTTTACTGAATAATTTTCAACATCCTTTTTCATACTATTTGCTGGAGTTACTAGTAACAGAAACTTATGCAGGTTGTTCTTTTATCAATACATTTCAACTTACACATGTCCTTTGGATGAGATTTAGGTGAGAAACTAAAAACATGAGAACTAGAAAGAAAAATAATATTTAAGAACATAGAAATTTCTTTAGGATAATAAACCAACATACGAATGTTTTCTAATATCAACAAAGAGAGTCAAACTCTGTAAGATATTTGAAGAGATTTATTCTGAGCCAAATATGAGTGACTGTGGCCCCTGACACAGCCCTCAGGAGGTCCTGAGAACATGTTCCCAAGGTGGTCGGGGCGCAGCTTGGTTTTATTCATTTTAGGGAGGCATGAGACATCAATCAAATACATTTAAGAAATACATTGGTTTGGTTCAGAAAGGCAGGCCAACTCAAAGCTGGGGTTTCCAGGCTATAGGTAAATTTAAACATTTTCTCGTTGACAATTGGTTGAGTTTATTTGAAGAGCTGGGATTAATGGAAAGAAATGTTCAGGTTAAGATAAATGATTGTGGAGACCTAGTTTTATTGTGCAGAGAAATCTCTCAGCAGACTTCAGAGAGAGCAGTTGTAAAATGTTTCTTATCGGACCCAAAAGGGTGCCTGGCTGTTAGCTGATTATCCCCTGGATCTGCATAGAAAGGAAGGAAAACAAAGGGGAAAGGGGGTACTCTATAGAATGTGGATTTTTCCCACAAGAGACTTTGCAGGGCAATTTCAAGGCATGGCAAGGAAATATATTTTGGATTAAATATTTTCTTCCTTGTCTCATAATGTTATGCCAGAGTCAGATTGAAAAGCAAGTCACAATATACAGGGTCAAATAAAACCCATCTGATGAGAATCCATGGTTTGTAGAGCATGACTCCCTGGACCCCTTAGGTAGGAATTTGGGCAAGATAAAAAATTAGAGCTTAGTCCTCACTGATAAGATAAATTCTAAGATAAGTATATTTACAGATTTGCCATGCAGCAAGAAAAAAAGAAAAGAAGAAATGTTGAAGAGTTGCACCAAAAAGTTAGGGAAAAGTTAAGAATAACAAAAGAGCAATGGAAGATAGAAGCTGATACGACAAAACAAATTAAACCGGCTCTTGAATCAGTGGAGGTGGAATTGAAGACAGGAGGAAATAATTCAAATCAGGTAAATTAATGCTTGGTAAAACTTCATATTTCTACTCATTAATATTACTTACAATATCTCTTTCATTTAATGTATATTATTTAGACCTAAACAGTCCCCAAATTTTATTTCATCTTAAAAATGAATCATGGTGGGCCGGGCGCGGTGGCTCACGCCTGTAATCCCAGCACTTTGGGAGGCTGAGGCAGGCGGATCACAAGGTCAGGAGATCGAGACCATCCTGGCTAACACGGTGAAACCCTGTCTCTACTAAAAATGCAAAAAAAAGTAGCCAGGCGTGGTGGCGGGCACCTGTAGTCTCAGCTACTAGGGAGGCTGAGGCAGGAGAATGGCGTGAACCCAGGAGGTGGAGCTTGCAGTGAGCCGAGATCCCGCCACTGCACTCCAGCCTGGGCGACAGAGTGAGACTCTGTCTCAAAAAAAAAATAAAAATAAAAAATAAAAAAAAGAATCATGGCATTTATAGCTACAATTATTTATAATAAATCTTGAAATATTTTATTTTAGTTCAAAGGCCTTATGTAAACAATGCTATTCTTTAATATATACTTAATGATATTGTAAGTATTTTGTTCCTAGTGACATAGTTCAGCATATTTTCCCCTATTTCATGTTAATTACGTTTCAAATGTTATGGAAAAGAAATAAAAGTTATCACAATAGTAAATAATCTCATGATTTTCTAAAAAGAGCTTTATAAATTTAATTTTCTTGACTTTTGGTGTCTTGAAATAGAAGATTATTTTTGTATGTATGTATCTACCTCACAGAAGTTATTGATTTGGTGGAAGAGCACTAGGATTAGAGTCAGAAAAGCTGGGAAAAATCCTGCAGCTTCCTTATATTTTTAACCTTTTGCTATAGAATTATAACTAAATGAGTTCATTGATTTGTGTGTGTAAAAGTGCTTAGTACAATGCCTAGACTTATCATTTATCAATAAATATCATTCTTAAAACTGACCATAAAAATATTAGAAAAGTAGAATATCTAGACAATATTTTAGAAAAAGGGAGCTTAAAGAATTTGGAAAATGTCATTCATCTGTCCAAATGTCTGCCAAGCTAAGGCTCTCACTACAGGGAGAGGTATAGTTTAGATGTTAGAGTGTAAACCCAATTTTTTAATGTGGTCATAGTTATTAATTCTTCATGCCTTGCAAATTGTTGTAATTCAGTAAAAGCCTTTTTTCATCCTGAAATTTAAAAAAATTATCTAGTGGTTTCTTTTTTGCTTTCATGGATTCACTGTCTTCAAATAAACTTTTGAACTTTGGGGAATTTATGCCATATGAGGTTTGAGGTTTTGACTCAACTTCTTTTTTCCCATTTAGATATACAGTTATGGCAACCTCTCATTGTATAAATGTACGGGTTATTATTTAATTTCAGAAACAATCACAATATGTTATCCTATTGGATACTAGTTACAAGTTTTCTTTGTTTTATTTAGATTTCTGAAACTGATGAAAAAGAAGACCTGCTGCATGAAAACCTCTTGATGCAAGATGAAATTGCCTGGCTCAGGCTGGAAAAAGACACAATAAGAAACCAAAACCTGGAAAATAAATACTTAAAAGACTTTGAAATTGTGAAAAGAAAGCGTGAAGACCTTCAAAAGGCTCTAAAACGGAATGGGGAAACATTAGCAAAAATGATAGCCTGTTACAGTGGACAGCTTGCTGCTCTGACAGATGAAAACACAACGCTGCATTCCAAACTGGAGAAGCAAAGAGAGAGCAGGCAAAGACTGGAAACAGAAATGCAATCATGTGGTTGTAGACTCAATGCTGCTCTATGTGATCATGATCAAAGTCATTCATCAGAAAGAGATCAAGAGCTTGCTTTCCAGGGCACAGTAGATAAATGGTGTCATTTACAGGAAAATTTGAATGTTTGTATTCTGATTCTTTCTCTCTGCAACTTTCCAAAGCTTGAGAGTAAGTCCAGAGTCCTCGAAACTGAGTTCCATTACACAAGAGAGGCTCTGAAAGAAAAGGCTTTGGTTTTTGAACACGTGCAAAGTGAGCTAAAGCAAAAACAGAGTCGAATGAAGGACACTGAAAAAATGTACAAAAGTGGATACAGTACAATGGAAAAATGCATAGAAAAGCAGGAAAGATTTTGTCAACTAAAAAAACAAAATATGTTGCTTCAACAGCAACTGGATGATGCTCGCAACAAAGCTGACAATCAAGAAAAAGCAATACTTAATATTCAAGCCAGATGTCATGCTAGAGTAGAAAGCCTTCAAGCTGAGTGCAGAAAGCACCGTCTTTTACTAGAAGAAAACAGTAAAATGTTGGTCAATGGATTGAATCATTTGAAAGAAAAAGAACGTCAATATGAAAAAGAGAAAGCAGAAAGAGAAGTAAGTATCAAGAAAAATAAGTATTTTTCAAACTTCCTGAAGCACAATTTAAAGTAATATTTGGTTACAGCTGAATGTTGGATCTAGTTGAATATAAAAAAGGATACATATGATAAATATAACTGCTTAGAAACATTCCTTGTTTCCAACAAGTCAAAGTTAGATCTGAGAGATGTTTTCCTCTGATTAAAGTCAATGTGTCACTTATAAAATTTTAAGTTATAAAATGTTAATATAGACTAATAGTAATAATATAGTCATACTACTGAAATAATAATTTTAATGTATTTATGTTGCAACATTTTAAGACCATGATAAATCAGATATATGGAAATGCTCATACCTAAAATGGTATTTTGAAGTTGATTCAATAAATTGGGGTACTTTGACAGTTAATTTCAGATTTCCTAGATGAGCTGAAGTGTATTCCCTATTTCATAATTACTTTTCTTCAGTAGCTTTAAATATGTCTTAGTAGGTAAAATTTTGTTCTTCTTCATGTCAGTTTGACTTAAATCTGAAACTATTTCAATCTCAAGTTATGTATAGATATGATCATTCTATTTTCAAAGGCATCTAATTTTACTTATAATATGGGGAAAATGAAGTAAATTTTAGCCAAATCATATTTGATTTAATCTTCCCACTGGCATTTATAATTTACTTTCATTTTTAAATAAAAAATTTGCTCCTAATTTTTATTTCAAGGCTCAATTACTATCATTTGGATATAACTTTGTCCAGGACAAAAGAGGCATAGCTATCTGTGATTTATTAGTTTGACACTGCATCCCCATTTTCAGACTAAGGAGGATTTCAGACTAACGAGGAGTGGCAGGACTCAGAGTAGGAATGGAGTGAGTAGGGAGGAGAGATATAGCAGCTGAGTCAGGGTGGGAGGTGGAGGGCAGGTTACTTAGAGCATCTAAGGCCACTGTAATTTTACTTTTCTTCTGAGATAGACATCTATTGGAAGCATTTAAGCAGATGATTTAATGTGACGAACTCTGAGGTTGATTTGAGTTTCTAATAAAAAGAAAGAGGGAAATCATTCCACAATGTATAATTTACTACCATCGGTCTCAACCACATACTCATTTCTTTTTGAGACTTCAGGTTTTTAAGCATTGCAGATTCATCAGGGGAGGAATGACTAGTGGGCTGAATATGTTGTGTGAATAACAATACCAGTTTGGCAGGAAGATAACACCTTCTGTATCCTTAACTGGATTCAGTAATACACAGGAATGTGTACACATGAGGAAAAGAAGGTGAATCGATCTGTGTGGTGATATTTTTCAAAGTGTATGCTTTAGAGTTAAATATTATTAATGGTTTAATAATAAGGTGATTTGTAAAATCAGTAACAAAAATAACATCAGGTAGCTGTGAGACAGCTTCAATGAAAACAAGATGATGTCTTAAACAATCAGCAACAAAAGCTTTGCTGGATGCTTCATCGCGTCATTGCATCTATTTAGAAAATGAGATGCAGGATTCAAGGAAGAAATTAGACCAGATGAGAAGTCAAGTATGTATGAAACTTTGCATGCCAACAACTGTTAATCTGTAGCTAGTTAACTAATATAAAGTGTTTTGGGGTACTAATTTTAGTGGATGGCTTTCTTTTGTATTTTTATTATAATTAATTTTATTAAAATTTTATAGTGGATGGCTTTCTTTTGTATTTTCCTTATTATTAATTTTATTAAAATTTTATTATAATGCACCTATATCTTAATCTCTTTTATTCTGCCATTTTTAATACATATTTTTTTCTTAAATATTTAACCTTAGGAAAGTTGAGAATTATGCATCATTTCTCACAGAAGTTGAGAGAGTTTTTTTTTTTTACCTGTTAAACAGTCTATTTTTAATGATTTCTCTGTTGGCATGGTGAGGCAAGCCAGATTAATTCAGAGGACAGTGTCTAATGGAATGTTTCAGAAAATTATCTTATTTTTAGTCTCTACTTTTCTGAACGTATAAAGAACTTGTGTTTACTTATTTCATAGATTTCAGGTTAACTTGTTCAGAAAGGCCATTTTACTGAATAAATTTTTATTTTGATGAAAATCCTTACTCTCTTTCTATTGGGCTCAGAGAGCACATTTTGTCTCTATATGAATATGGACAGTTAGCATTTGCCAACATGTATCTATTTTCTCTTATTTATAGAAAAAGCTAAACTAAAAAGGGGGTTATATAAGGTCAGCAAAGGATGAGTTTGAGATGTTCGGGTTGGTTAAGTGGGCATTTAGACAACAAGGTTTCTCCTTTGGCATGTTTAATGGACATCTTTGCAGTTTAAGATGACGCTTTTAAATTACTTCTCTCCTAATGATGACTTGAGTCCTGCTATTCAATGGGAGAGTCAATAAGATCCTGTAGGATCTTATTTGGAACTGACTTTGTCGATTTTAATTTTGTTCCTGCTTGTTTTTAAATTTTCTTGTTGTTTCCCTAGAAAGGAAAGATGACGCTTAGTTTTAAATATTTAAAAATGTGCAAGTTGCTTTGCTATAATAAAACTAAATGCATACATACAAAAAATAAAATTATAGTTGATGTGGTAGTGTTTGGAATTCAAAATATAAATGCTTAGCATGAGGTAATCCTTTATCTTTCCACATTTTACCAGTTTGCAAGTTTGAGTATTTAACTGATAAAATGTAATACAAAAGCAAGAAGAATGTTGTGTTTTAGTCCTAGAGCAGGGGTCTGTGAACTTTTCTGTAAAGGGCCAGATAGTATTATTTAAGGCTTTGTGAGCCATAATATCACTGTTGCAATAACTCAGCCCTGCAGTTATAGCACAAAAGTAGCCACAAACAATATGCAGATTGAAGGGGTGTGGCAGTGTCCCACTAAAATTAATTACAAAAAACAGGTAATGGGATGATTTATCCTAGATTCTGACCTTTTTTAAATAAAAAAGATTGTGATAGTCTAAAATATTTTATATATATTTTGTTGATTCATTCATCTACTGATGGACATTTAGGTCATTTCCAAATGTAATTTTTTTTAATTCTTTGTTTTAGTTTCAAGAAATACAGGATCAACTTACAGCTACTATAAGATGTACTAAGGAGATGGAAGGTGATGCACAAAAGTAAAATTTGAAGCAGCACACAAAATAACTTGAGTATTTATAAAGCAAAAGAGCACTGTAGTATGAAAATTGTATCAGTTATGATAAGTATGTCTTTGTGAAGCCAAAAATGTTTCATCTGTAAGCTATATTGACATACATCATTTTTCTACATTATTCCTAAATTTTGCATATTATCAACAAAACACAGGTAGAAAAAATGACACAGTAGCCCAGTCATCTACTCTTGTGTTTGTTAAGAATTTGTGTAATTATACCTTCAGAAGTTTGTTTAGAATTTACATGATTTAAAAACAATTATATGTGAGAGTAATTATTTTAAAATGCACATTTTAGGCTTGAAGTAGAAAATGCCATGATGAGAAAAACGATTAAAAAACAGTATGACCAAATTGAGCGGCTTGAGAAAATCCTGCAGCGTTCAAGTTTGGTAAGCTGATCTCTTAATTTCTGTCATACTGAAAACGAATTTTATTTTTCCAGTAGGACGGGTTAAATATCCCTTGTCCAAAATGCTTGGGACCAAAAGTAGATTTTTTTCAGATTTTGGAATATTTGTATATACCTAATGAAATATCTTGGGGATGGTACCTGAGTCTAAACATGAAATTCATTTATGTTTCATATATACCTTATGCACATAGCCTGAAGGTAATTCTCTACAATATTTTACAGTAATTTTTTGCAGGTAACAAAGTTTTTACTGTTTTCCCCAGAGCCTGTCACATGAGGTCAGGTGTGGAACATTGCAGTTGTGGTGTCATGTCCGTGCTCAAAAAGTTTCAGGTTGTAGAGCATTTTGGATTTCAGATTTATAGTTTAGGGATGATCAATCTACAGTACAGAAGCTCCTTGACTTGCAGTGGGTTTACATGATAATGTCTCTTGTTTGACTGAAACTTTATAAGTAATATTTGATTTATTTCAGATGCTGCCAGGTGTTCAAGAGCTAGATGAAGGTATGTTGCCAAAATTTATGAATTAAATTCAAATCATTGATTTCTGAAATAAACTGTAAGTAGTGAATGGTATTCCTCTCAATTGCTTGGTTAATACATGCTACATTAAATATTTTTTCTTACACACATCTAGTGAAAGATGTGAAAACATAATCATTCATAGTGAAGAGTATACTTATGCTTTGTTACTTCATCATGTTCCATAGCTTTAAAAAAAATCACAAGAAGTCTGTGTATCTCTTTTTTTCTGGCCCTACACTTTTCTTCTGCCACCCCTATAGAACTGTCAGCCTGCACACTGAAACTGTTCTCATAAAACAAAGGCATCATCAACTTCTCAAGGTTAAGGTAGTGATTTAAGGCTAACAGACCCCACACTCATGTGATAATAATTGGTTAAGCAATTACAGGTCACAAGCAGTCACTTGACCAGTGACATTTTAAATCTCTAGTCATTGACTTTGTCATTGGTTTACTTTTGCACCTGGGAAAAGTTGAAAATTCCTTAGCATGGAATCAAAACTCTCACATCAGTGTGGTTCTTGTCAGGTTATTCAGCCTTATCTTTCGCCACTTACCATACTCTGCACCTTTGTTCTAGCATCCAGCCAAACTAGACTACACGGAGCTCCACAGTGATCATCCTCACCTCCACCTCTTTGCATTTACTTCTTCCCTCTATCCTACATGTGTTTTCCTTCCCCTTCAGATATCAACCTATGAATTGCCTCTATCAAAAAGCCTACAATATTGACACAAACCTGGGCTAGTATCCCTTCTATGTCTTCCAGTAAGTGGTGTCTTATGCCTGTCATTGTATGTATGACTCTGTATGGGAATTGCCTGTTTGTTTTTTCGGATTATAGCATACAGTTGTTGAGGGGTGCACCGTATCATCTTTATCTTGTTAATCCAGTGCTTGTCCTAGTACCTTAGCACATGGTTGCTGAATACATGAATGAAGAGTGAGAAACCAGAAGCTCTGATACTTAACTGCCATGATAATGAAATCAGTGTGCAACTATGGGCAAATTATATTTAATAGTAATTGCATATTGTACATATTTTTCATTCTTATTAACACTGATAAACTTTTCAACTTATACTGACTTTCTCTCAGTTAACTGTGAAATCATTTAGATAAAGAATATAATTCTTTTTCATTCTAACTTCTGAATTTAAATCTGAATCCTCTATAGCAGGGGTCCCCAACCCCCAGGCCACAGTCAGGTCCATGGAGTATACAGTTTAAGACCTCTGCTGTACAGCTATACCTCCATGCTTGCTTTCAGTGGCCATGACACTTTATTCAAATATGTAAGTTTTATTAAGACTGAGTTCTTAAAAAGAAAAAACCAAGAACCTTAGATACAACTAGTGAAGTATTGAGACCTGTCCATATTTAAAACCAAGCACACAATACCACTTAAAACGTTCCCCAGAAAGCCTCTATACTGAAATGCTTGAAAGTGAGCAGTGCTGACTCTCGATTATTACCAATTGCATTAAATATGACACTTGTTTTGTTTCTTTTGGCTATAAGGAGAAAATCTCATTTTGTATATGAGTGAGCACAGAGGAGAGAGAATGCGGGAAAGAATAGAATGGGCCAATAATTTTTTACTAAATACTCCAGTTCTCAGCTTTTTAAATCAACAGACAAAATGAATCACCTAAACCTAAAATCTTTGTGAATAGTATAAATTGTCTTTTAAATTAAATGCATATATTTTTATGTTTTACTTTTTCAAGACAAAAGCAGGATATTAGTACAATATAAGATTTATAGAGGAGCAAATTTCTTGAGATAGGAAACCCTTAAAAGCAGTATTTAAAGTGCTTAAATACTGTCACATATGTTTAATAATCATAATACTTAATTGTGAGAACTAGGAGCTCATATTACTACTAAAACCAAATAAAAATTCAATACGTATTTGTTAACTCAATTTAAGGATGTTTACCTTAATACTGACACAGTGTGGATGGTAACACTGACCACACTGAGAACAGGCAAGTAATCTTCCTTCTGCTCCTTGGCCAAAACTGCCACAAACTACACACATATCCTGAAGTTAAGAAAACAGAACATATTTTAAATGGAGACTAAGCTAAAAACCTACAAATTTTACTTTAAAAATACCTTCTTAACTAATATAGCTCTATAGCTAAATATTGGATCACTTCTGTGTATATGAGATAAAGCAGAAATGTGCAAGGAGGAATTCAATGAGGAAGACAGTAAATTGTCAAGTTCAAACCTGATTCAAAGTGAATTTGTCACTGCTAGAAAACAACACAACCGTAGTGTGCATAGAGTTTTCTTCATCATCCTTATTTGATGAAATATCTGCAGTAGACACCTATAAAAAAGCAAAATACACAAAATACGAAGTTATATTTTTCACTTGTTTTACACTTAACTGGAAAGCTTCAGAAAATTCATAATCAAAACATATATTTTTGCTAAGGTCTAGAATAACAATTCCAAATATTAATGCTAAGATAGTACTATAAAATGGAGTCATGACATTTTATTATTCACCTAATTCTCTCTTTAGAGGTAGAATTCCTATAGACCAATAAGTAATGAGAAAATATAATAAACCTGTCTTAGTAAGACTTGATTATGCAGAATTCTAATCAAGAAACTATAAATGATAATATTATATGTATGTACACACACAAATCTATCACTATTTTAATGACACACACTTGGGATCTGCAATGTAGTTAGTCTGAACTGAGATGTCCTGCAAACATAAAATACAGCACATAATTACATATTACATGTTGAAATGGTAATATTTTAGATATATCGAAATGGAAGGCATTAAAATTAATTTTGCCTGTTCACTATAACCTTTGTTTTGAGAGGAGTTTCACTCTTGTTACCCAGGCTGGAGTGTAATAGCATGATCTCAGCTCGTTGCAACCTCTGCCTCCTGGTTCAAGCTGTTCTCCCTGCCTCAGCCTCCCAAGTAGCTGGGATTACAGTTGTCCACCACCATGCCCAGCTAATTTCTGTATTTTTAGTAGAGACGGGGTTTCACCATATTGGTCAGGCTGGTCTCTTAACTCCTGACCTCAAATGATCCACTGCACCCAGCTCATTGTAACTTATTAATGTGGTTACTAGGAAGTTTTAAGGTGCATATGTGGTTCTCATTATATTTCTATTAGCACCGCTTTAGAATATTATTTTGAATAACATCAAAATTTCAGTATTAGCCAAATGATTATCAACCAATATTGTTCAGTCTGGGCTTAGTTCTATTTGACTAAATCAACTAAATACCCACTGGTTTGTTAATAATTTCTAGAGTGATTATGAAACAAAATAAAGCTCTGAACTAGAAGTTGTAGAAGAAGACAAGGAGGGCACTGCCAAAATCATAAAATACAATCCTCTTTCTTTAAAAAGCTTACAATCGAAGCCTGGAAAGACAGTTGAAACACAACAGGTTATGTTCAAGGTCAAAACATAATACAACTGAATTACTTTTCTTGAGGAACAACTGAAAGAAGATTAACCAGCTGGGTGTGGTGGCTCATGCTTATAATCTTAGCACTTTGGGAGGCTAAAGTGGGTGGATTGCTTGAGCTCAGGAGTTCGAGACAAGCCTGGGCAACATGGTGAAATCCTGTCTCTACCAAAAATGCAAAAAACAGCCGAGCATGGTGGCACACGCCTGTAGTCTCAGCTACTCAGGAGGCTGAGGCAGGAGAATCACTTGAACCCAGGAGGCAGAGGTTACAGTGAGCCAAGATTATGCCACTGCACTACAGGCTGGGGGACAGAGCGAGACCCTGTCTCCCAAAAAAAAAAAAAAAAAAAAAGGAAGGAAGTTTGGTTGGTTAACTAAATAGAAGGACTACATCTCGGTATTTTTCAATACAAATACATTTAAAAGCAGTTTTTTTGTTTTTTTTTGTTTGTTTTTGAGACAGTCTCTCGCTATGTCACCCAGGCTGGAGTGCAGTGGCACAATCTTGGCTCACTGCAAGCTCTGTCTCCCAGGTTCACGGCATTCTCCTGCCTCAGCCTCCCGAGTAGCTGGGACTACAGGCGCCTGCCACCATGCCCGGCTAATTTTTTGTATTTTTAGTAGAGATGGGGTTTCACCATGTTAGCCAGGATGCCAGGATGGTCTCGATCTCCTGACCTCATGATCCGCCCACCTCGGCCTCCCAAAGTGCTGGGATTACAGGCATGAGCCACCGTGCCCAGCCTAAAAGCAGTTTTAATGGATAGTACTAATGCTTTATAAGAGCAATTTATAGTCATATGAACCCTAATGACTACAAGTGTTAATAATGCCAATATTAATCATTAGGGAGTAAGTAAAGCAATGACAAATCCAAACATTAGGAAAGTACGAAACATTTTAAAAGTAGGGAGGTAGAAACTTGTATAGACTGCCATGAAAGAAATTATCAAAAGACACTGTTGAGTGAAAAAATAAATTGCAGAACAGTATTTGAGGTATAGCACTATAATATAAAAACATGCAAATTCATTATATGTAGTCTATGGGCACATATAATAGGTTGACTCATAAGAAATTGCTGCTTTTCATCAGTTCAGAAATAATATTGGCAATTTCATATGGATCAACCTAATATATAAATATACCAAACTGGTAACAGGGAAATAAGGAGGACTGAGGAGTTAGTAATGGTAAATTCTGATCTACCTATAACACTTTAATTCTTTTAATAGAGAAAATGCATTGATGTGTTATATGCATAGCATTAACAAAATCAGCTTTCTAAGATTTTAGAGAATCATCCAAGATGATTCACAGAAGTAGAATCATCATCATCAGTAAGAAATTAAGTGACTACTAAAAGTAATCATTAATTCAGTCATAGGACTAATGATGCATTGACAAGACTATTGAGATATATAATTTTGGAAATGGCTAAAATAGAGATAAAGTATCTATTTCTACCTCCCAACCACTTACAGAAAATTCAACACATTATACACACTGAGCAGCTCAAAGAAATTGTAAAGATCCATTATTATTTTTAAAAGGAAGTTTAACCAGTGAATGCTTTCATTGAAAATGATAAACAATATATTCCCAGTATAAACCAGAAATAAAGTCTGCAGTAGAAAACTACAATGTCCCTAGATTCAAGTGGGGGTGGGGAGTCATATTTAAATAATAAGTGCAGAAAAACCAAAATATTTTAAAATAATTGTCCATGCAAGAAAGAAAACAGTATCATCTAGCTTGAAGACCCACTGTTTTTATTTTATAATTTATTTCATGACCTTTAGACTGCTAGAAAAATAAAACCTAACTTGAGGGCAAAGGTAGTCTTTGAGAAAATATGTGCTATTGTTGCCTGCATAGATAATAGTGTGATTTATCCAGAAGGTGATAGAAATATCATTTTCCTAGACGACAGATATAAGCCAAGGAGAATAGAAAGCTCTGACCTAAACTTCACAAGTGTCCCTTCCAAGCAGGGACACGTAAGAGTAAACAAAAAAAGAAGATCAAATTAAACTCAAAGTGAGAAGATAGGAAAAAATAAAGATGAGAATATAAATCAATAAAACAGAAAGGGGAAAGAAAATAGAGAAAAGTCCATGAAAACAAAGGCTGACTCAAGAAGATCAATAAGATTGATAAATCTCTAGACAGACTGATCAGGAAAAAAATAAGACAAGATACAAATTATTAGTATCAAGAATGAGGAAGGTGAAATCACTACAGATTCTACAGGTATTAAAATAATAAGAAACATTATGATCAACTCCATTCCTTTAATTTGTCAAGATAGACGAAATGAACAAATTTCTTGAAAGATGCAAATTTATGAAAGGAGAGACAGATAACCTAAATAGGTACCTATTAAAGAAATAAAATTTGTTGTTAAAAACTGTCCCACAGGCTGGGCACTGGTGGCTCATCCAGTAATCCCAGCACTTTGGGAGACGGATCACCTGAAGTCAGGAGTTCAAGACCAGCCTGGCCAACATGGCAAAACCACATCTCTACCCAAAACACAAAAATTAGCCAGGCATGTTGGTGCATGCCAGTAATCCCAGCTACTCAGAAGGCTGAGGCAGGAGAATTGCTTGAACCTGGGAGGTGGAGTCTGTAGTGAGCAGAGATCACACCACTGCACTCCAGCCTGGGCATGGTGGCTCATGCCTGTAATCCCAACACTTTAGGAGGCCAAGGCAGGTGGATCACCTGAGGTCAGGAGTTCGAGACCAGCCTGGCCAACATGGTGAAAACCTGTCTCTACTAAAAATACAAAAAAAGAAATTATCCAGGCATGGTGGCAGGCACCTGTAATCCCAGCTACCCAGGGGGCTGAGGCAGGGGAATCACTTGAGCCTGGGAGGCAGTGGTTGCATGAGCTGAGATTGTGCCATTGCACTCCAGCCTAGGCAACAAGAGTGAAACTCCATCACAAAAGAAAGAAAGAAAAAAAAAAAGAAAACACAACAAAAACCCCCCACAAAGAAAATTTCAGGCCAAGATGGTTTCACTAATAAATTCATGTATAATATAAGAAGATACATTTCCACTACTACACAACTTTTTCAGAAAACTGAAGAGGAGAATATACTTTCTGATTCATTCTATGAAGCTGGAGTTATGCTGATACCAAAACCAGACGAAGACATTACAAGAATGTAAGACTACAGGCTGGGGCATGGTGACTCACGCCTGTAATCCCAGCATTTTGGGAAGCCAAGGTGGGAAAATTGCTTGAGCTCAGAAGTTCGAGACCAGCCTGGACAACATAGTGAGATGCTGTCTCTATCAAAAATTTTAAAAAAGTAGTTGGGTGTGGTGGCACACACTTATGGTCCCAGCTACTTGGGAGACGGAGGTGGGAGGTCAAAGCTGGAGTTAGCTATGATCGCACCACTGCACTCCAGCCAGGAATTAGAACGAGAACCTGTCTCAGGAAAAAAAAAGAAGAAAAAAAAGTGCACAGGTCTACAACCGTGGTGCATCCACAGTTTAATTAATACACAGCAAGAAAAGGGAGTACACTGTTAACAAATACAACAGCATAGATGAATCTCCAAATAATTGTGCTGAAATAAATCAGTGCAAAAAGCATACAGTTCTGTATGATTCCACTTATATACAACTTTAGAAAATGCAAACTAATCTTGGGGACAAGGACGGATGGCGGGGGAATGCAGAAAATTACAGAGGGACATGAAGAAACGTTGGGAGATGAATATATTCACTGTCATGATTGTGGTATCGTTTTCAAGGGTGTATATATATATATCAAAGCTGATGGAATTGTACATGTCAAGTCAAATATAGCTTATATCAACTATACCTCAATAAGCCTGGTTTTAAAATTTTTCTTTTTGAAAAAAGGATGAGAATCTAACCTTCCTTATTCCTGGTTTATTAGTAAACTTGAACAATTTCACCTGTCTCCTATACTTAAAATGACATTTCAGAATTTTAAAAACAGGATTTTAATAAAATAGCGAAGTTATTACATAAAATATTTGCTAGTAGTTAGCAAATGTATTTGTAATACACATACAAATAAAGCTTCATAACATGATAGTAAGCAAATATCTATCAATCTTAAAATTTTTTAAATAAAAGAGCAACTATATTACATAATGACTTTTTAGAGAGGGTTGGCATAGAAAGATAAGGAGTCAAAGAGGAAGGTAAGAAAAGAGAAAGGGTGAGAAAGTAAATATACAAGAAAATGTAACCAGAGGCTCAAAAAAAAGAAAAGTAGGACAGTAAAATAAACATTTTGACCTATTTATATGACTCATAAAATCAAAATAACTTGCTATGAGATTTTCATCATTAACTGACATTTAGATTAGAGAAAATATACATGAAGCAAGCCTCACCCCAGGCAATACAAGAGCTCCGATTCCACTTTTCAGCTTTGACCTGCCTCGGCCACCTCGCCCCGACAGTCCTGCACCTCGAGGTCTCCACTTTCTTGGAAATCCAGACCCATGGCCCTATGTAACAGATTAGGAAAAGTCAACATTCTGTTACAGCCCAAAATAATTTTTAAATCCAAATGCCACTGAGATAAAACATTTTATTAAATGTTATACAAACACTTCTTTAGATAAGTATTAAAAGACCTGGCTTATTATTTTTATCTTTAAAAGTATACTCCACAACTTAAAAATCTAAATATAAAATGCTTACAACCTTAGAATCATACTTTAGGCCTGTCACTGTGAACGCTATCAGCAAGCCTTTGCATGATTTTTCTCTTTCCCACTCCTACATTCTCGGTGATGACAACAACTGTAGCCTGATCCAGATATTTCGAAGTGCAACAAATCGTATTCAATATAGAGTAAGGATAAGGAAAAACTCTCTCATTAACTGGTCTCGCAGTGATTACAGTAATAGCTAACATCTATTGAGTAATTACTATGTACTAATCTAAGTATTTTTTACTCTCATCCATCCCATATAGTAGGTTTTATTATCCTCATTTGAGATGAGTGTGCTGAGGAATAAAATGGTTAAGTAACTTGTCCAAGGTTACTTAGCTAGCAAGCCTGGCTCCAGCGTCCCTGGGTTGGAAGCATATTCTGTACTGCTACATCAGCATGAAAGTTCATTTTTGCTAGTGTGTGACAGTATTCTTCCTGTCATTAAAATTAAGTCAGTTTCCTTCACTATTCAACAGTTCTCTTATGAACTCAACATTTCTACCTCATTCACCATTGTATTTAGAGGAAAATTTATTATTATTGTTATTACTTTTATTTTTGAGACAAGAACTTGATCTGTCACTCAGGTTGGACTGCAGTGGTGTGATCACAGCTCACTGCAGCCTAGAACTCTTGGGCTCAAGTGATCCTCCTGCTTCTGCCTCCCAAAGTGCCAGGATTATGGGAGTAAGCCAAAGCATCCAGCCAGGAAAAATTATTTGAGGATTACAGGAAAGCTGACAAAAGGCTTTGTGAAAGCTTTGCTTTAAATAATCTGAATAATAAATACTTGAAATGGAAATAATTTATCTGACTTCTTACACAAGAAATAAACCTATGGGAAAATGTGTTAAATTCCCTGATAATTTCAGACATTAAGTACCAGAGTATCGTGTTCCCTGCCCCCTCACCCTTGTTTGTACTAATTAATTACTCCTTGAAAAAACCTGGCACCTACCTAAGTAGAAGAATTATGTATATTTAAAATTATCCAGATGCTCAGGAAAATACTTAGATGTTTCCCTCATGATAAGTTAAATAATATGTCATATCTTCAACTGATGTCCCTTATCATAGTTTGAAATGAACTTATTCCCTATTTAGCAGAATGGTTTCCAAGTCAAAAATTTATGGTGATACTGTAAACATAAAATAGATACACATGAACAAAAGGAACGGGAGGAATGGCTTTTCTCCCTTTGGATGTAATAAATACAGCCAGCTCCCAGTTTCAAACTGCCACTCCTGTCTTCTCTTACCCTGCTCTCCTTGAGATCCCTTTAGAGAAGTGCATCAGGTTCTTTGCACAACGGATGGATGGGGTCAGGTTAGTTTTTTGGGTTTTTTGTTTGTTTTTGAGACGGAGTCTTGCTTCTTTGCCCAGGCTGGAGTGTGATGGTGCGATCTTGGCTCACTGCAACCTCCGTCTCCTGGGTTCAAACAATTCTCCTGCCTCAGCTTCCCTAGCAGCTGGGATTACAGGCACATGACACCACGCGCGGCTAAATTTCTTTGTATTTTTAGTAGAGACGGGGTTTCACCATGTTGGCCAGGTTGGCCTCGAACTCCTGACCTCAAGTGATTTGCCCCCTCAGCCTCCCAAAGTGTTGGGATTACAGGCATGAGCCACTGCACCCAGCCGAGTTTGTTTTGTGTTATTAAATTGGTATAAAAGATTTTTGAAAAATTAAGTCAGTGATTAAAAATCAAGACTACAGTAGTCTCTCAATTTATTTTCTCTAACATGAAATGCTGACCCAGAAAAAAATTAAGTAAAAACTGGTGGTCTATATTATCAAACTGTCAAATGAGGCATATTTATACTTCAATATCTTGGATGATATCAGGGGGAGGTAGGGAGTTTAAAAAAATAGTTCTTCCAGTCATGAAAGAAAATAAAGTATAATCTAGAATTCCTTAAAATCCTTCATTAGTCTAAATTAAACAGCCATATTCCAGAATATTAAATATAGAATATGAAGAAAAACTGTCATCTCCAGTCAATGAAGTTTTTTAACTTTTGAGTTAATACTTTTTCAAAGTAATTTTTTTCTCTCCGAAATGCATCACACTACTTAACTCACTTCAAGGACTGGCAGAGCCATCAACCAATGTCATAGGGGAAAAAGCCTTGTCATTTTAAGGTATTAAACAGACAATGAAATCTGCCACAATTTTGGTATTTCTTCTCCATGAGAACATAATAAATTAATGGAGTTTTTTCTTTTGCTTTTTTCTAAGCAACAAAGTTTTATGATATCATGAATGAAAAGATCCTTAATTACCTTTTGTTCTACACGTCAAGGACTTCTCCCTCATAAAACCAGTAGTAATCACAACAAAAGGAATTAACCATAAAAAGAGGTATTAAAAATGTATACTTGATTTTTAAATGCAAGCATATTATTTCTTTACATTAAAATTTTTAGATTTAAAAAGCGTTTCTGGAAACTCAATCTAGAAAAGAAAGACTTAATTCTTAACATCCAGTAGGGCAAAACAAATCAGACCGAAATGATATATGAATGTAAATGTAATTTTATGTACCACTTTGATGCTCCAAATTGCACTGCTAGGAAGTGCCTGGGTTTAAAAATTTCCCGACCTCCTGAAATGTCTGGGGACCAGGAGGGTGGGCTCACTGTATTATGGGTACTCCAAGCCTCCTAAGATATGGCAGTTGAGAAAATAGATGTGTAAAACTCAGCAACATAAAAGGTCAAAGCCAGCAACTAAGGAATTTTAGGACAGCAAAAACAAATGCAAACGTATGGAAATTTAGGACAAATTGCTTCAAGGAAGGCAAAATAAGCTAATCACTAACAGTGATTTAAACATTTAACTATAACAAATAACTTAAATGTTTGCTGCTACAGAGACATCATTACAATGAAACATTAAAAATTAGGGTTTATATGACATCAACTTTGACTCATGAACTGCAATTACTGCACCAAAAAGTAAATAAACGTCAATCACACTTTAAGAATTAACACTAGAAGAAAGTATTGGGGGGTTATTTTTCTTCTAACAACTATCACTCTACTTAAAAGGAGAAATGGATAACCACAAGGAATTCTATATTCTATAGCTATAAACAACAAAAACCAGTAGGCCAAAGAATGCAATGAGAAACATAAGCAATCGATAAATGCATACACTTTTAACTGTAGAGAGCTGGTAACATTAAAATGCAAATACCATTATAATCTTAGCATTTAATCACTCTTTCTTCAGTGACCATTAGTTGTCGGTTTGGTTTCGGTTTTTACTTAGGGAAATGAATACTTTATGGAAATTACATCCAATGGACAAAAGTGAAGAAACGTTAAAGCAAATTGTCCTAAATTTGCAAATTAAAATGCCTAAAGTGCCTGATAAATTATGTAGAAAGTACTATCTTATTAAAATCTATATAACTAAAACTAAAGCATTTTACTTCTGAACAACCACATTCAGCAATACCCTGAACTAATCTGAAGATGCTAAACAGCATAAAGAAAAATGTTTACTCCACAAAGATAACATTTTAAAGAAAAACAAGACAAATGTCAAACAATAAAAGAATATATTTTGAATTAGGTAATTCAATGGTGCATGCATAATTTTACCAATCAAGTAACCAAAACTTAAGGTACATAGTACTTACCAGGTTTCTAGAATATCATCAAATTAACAAGTACTATCTCATTAATCACATAAAAATACCACCAGGAATTAAAATAACCAGAAATAAGAATGTGACTACTCTTGGGGTAAGAGATAGGTAATTGAATAACAGTATTTTGAGAAAAGCCACACAAGCAATAGACTGGTTTCATTTTTAAGTCACAAACTCAACCCGCACACATTGAAGTCCAGCAATCCAACTCATTCTCTCCAGCAAACACTTTATTTTTTCCCTTCCAGGATTACCCTCAGGTGTTCTTTCTTACCCATCAAATCTCTAACCTAGCTCAGGTAATCACTAGGCTGATTTCACTGAGCAGCAACCACTGCAGGTCAATTACCTCACTTTCATAATTTCCAATCAACTTGAATCTGTACCTATGTCTTCTTCCCTACTATTAATAGGGAACTGTTGTCAAAAGCCATTTCTCTCTTCTCATTTTACTCATGCTCCTGACATCTGTCATACTGTTCTGCTGGATTTGGCAGCAGTCCACCTGTGGATATTTCACTGACTTCCTCGCTAATCTTTCTTCATCTCCTGTACGTGTTCTTCCTCTATTTGACTTCCAAAGCCCTGGAGTTTCCCAGGGCTTGAGCCTAGATCCTAAATGGTATTATCTACAATGAGGACATCTTGGAAGTTGATGCTTCCCACATTCTTATTTCTGGTTTTAAACAAAGATCTCCAAATTAGAAGGATTTTCAACTTCCTTCTTAGCATTTCCATTTTCTCACACAAAACCCCTCTTAAGTTTGCCATGTTTAAAATTTCTCCCTTAACCGGTTTCATCCCAGTCTTCCCCATCCTTATAAATGGCATCCAGTCCCTTGTCACTCTCCTCTGCTTCTTCAGTCCTCTCCCCCAACACTTCGTCAATGCAAATCATCAGCAAATTCAAGACTTTTTATCTTCAAGTTTTGTCTCCAATCCTTCTACTTCTTGTCACTTCCACCACTAGCAGCACACTCGTGGCCACCACCATCTCTCACCTAACCTGCTACAAGAGTCTACTGCTGGTTATGCTTCTCCCACCCTGCATCTACTCAAACCTTTCCCCACAGCAGCCAGAGGAACTTTTCAAAAGTACAAATGTGATCAAGCAAGTCACTATTCTATTTCAAACCTTCAATTGCTTCTCAGAGCACTTAAAATACAAACCTTTCCCAGTGCCTTTCTCTAACTCATCATGTGGCACTTGTCTCCCTGCTGCTATGCTCCAGCTATTCTGGCTTCCTTGCTGTCCTTCAAACATGCCAAGCTCTGTATCAATCAGAGCCCAGCTGACTCACAACACTTCACTATACCATTCTGGCTCTTCAATAAATGTCTGGCATTTTCTTTCTTTCTTTTTTTTTTTGAGATGGAGTCTCACTCTGTCACCCAGGCTAGAGTGTGGTGGTGTGATCTCGGCTCACTGCAACCTCTATCTCCCAGGTTCAAGCAATTCTCCTGCCTCAAGCCTCCTGAGTAGCTGGGATTACAGGCATGCACCACCAGGCCCGGCTAATTTTTGTATTTTAGGAGCAATAACATGTTGGTCAGGCTGGTCTCAAACACCTGACCTTGTGATCCACCAGGCTTGGCATCCCAAAGTGCTGGGATTACAGATGTGATCCACCATGGCCAGCCATGTCTGGCATTTTCTAACTCTTCAGGTATGGCCTTACATATTTTCTCACCAGGAGACCTTTCCTTAGTGCTCCCAGTGAACCATCATCTCTCTTACCACACCATTAGTGCCTCTCATTGCATCACCACCTAGGACATTTTATTGTTTGTAATTTTATTTAGTGGTAGGCAGTGGGGCAAGAGATACCTAAATTACTTCTCTCAATATTTCCATTGGTTTTTCTCTGAGATTTGGCTAACATACATCTTAAATTCTTTTTAGTCAATAGTTTAATATTATGTTGGCAGTAGACAGTTCTAAAAAATATGAGACAGAAAGTCATACTCTAAGATAAAAATAATGTTGAATAATTTTATTTCAGAAATAAGAATTTTCTGGTAATTATGTATTATTCATCATAATTTAAAAGTTAGCTTTGATGCCAAAATTTTATCTCACTTTGAAAAGACAGACTTTGTGTAATTTTATAGTTCTGAAGAAAAATTATCATTATACTTAGATATTCTGACAAATTATCTAGTATATTCCTTAGACCTTAAAACTAAAATATAGCTATAATTATCAAAGTTTAAATTATCCTTCAGATCTTAGCTTTGATCAAGAATTTACACAAACCATTCAGAAAAGGTTACCTGCCCCTGTAATGTATGGGCTCTTCTCCTACAATCCAGTTGCAGCACTTTTTACACTGTAATTAAAGATCATGCCCCTTTCTGTCCACTGCTACGTTAAGCACACTGTTCAGCACTTACTGAACTTTTTTTCTGCTGAGCATCTATTATCTTTTTTTGCATGTGTGTATGAATTCATCAATAAACAATGAGCTATGATATGAAACACACTAATGCCTCCACCAGTAATAACCTAGAATCTTGAATTTCTTCACTTAAAAAAAAGTTACTAAAAATTACTAAAAAATCTATATAATGCCTCCTTAATCTACAAACTGAATTAAAAGCAAAATAGTTCCTAATGTAATCATTATTAAGTTGTAAATAGAATCAACTTGCTATCAAATACTACAGAAACTAAAAAAACACTACCTGGCAGGGACTGAATTTGAACCCAAGAAAAATAATTTAACCCAAAAATAGTTTAATATTAGCATTAAGTTTCTTTCTGCTTTGAGGCCAATTTCTCAGGTAAACTGTCCAAGCTAGTAAGTTATACAAGGACTGTGGGATGGGGAAATGAGAACAATAATGACAAGTTGAGGATAGGCTATTTAGAAGCAACTTTCTATTAAAAGTCAAATTCTATTGCTGATTGTTAAATATGATCAAAGTCATTCTTACAGCCCAAGAGTACTATCAGTTTTAAAAGCAGCCATAGAAGGTTTGGTGTCTCAAAGGCAAACTTTACACCTCCAAATCTTAAATCAACCCCGGCACCACACTCTTCCAACATACTATGTAAAACCAAGGTTGCTTATAAACAGTAAGTCTAATTTAGGAAAAGTGAAAGCAATGAAGACAGAGGGCAGAAAGGAAGATAACTGGTAAAAGAAACAAAAGAGTTTACAGTTTGTCTTTTTGGTAAATATAATCACTTGTATACACTGGAGCTACAGCAGCAAACACTTCACTCTTTAGGGAATTCTTAAAAGAAGTCTCATATATAAAATTGAGTTCAATATCAAGTAGAACAAGAAATTAGACCCAATCCTGTTTTGATAACTACAGAAACAGCTATTACCAGCTTTAGCCTTCAATAATTTCACAATACAAATTAGGTAGTGCTAGCAACAGTAATGTCTCCAAAAATACCACAACAAGCACAAGTGAACTAAAAGCAAATTCTGGTACTTCTAATCTGCTGTGTTGTTAGCTTGGTGTTCCAAAGGGGTAGATATTTTTTAGGTTTAACACTATGGTTCTCTGGCTACTTTTAAAACTGAAAGTACTCTTCTTATAATATAAAGTAAACTTCTAATAATTTGTCCAAGAGATATCAAAATACAGTACCTATGTTTTCATTTATGAAATTTTCTTGAAATATTTACTGCAGTCTGGGCGTGGTGGCTCACCCCTGTAACCCCAGCACTTAGGGAGGACAAGGCGGGTGGATCACCTGAGGTCAGGATTTCAAGACCAGCCTAACCAATATGGCGAAACACCATCTCTACTAAAAATATAAAAAAAATTAGCCAGGTGTGTTGACGTGCGCCTGTAGTCCCTGCTACTCAGGAAGCTGAGACAGGAGAACTGCTTGAGCAAGGCAGGCAGAGGCTGCAGTGAGCGAGGTCGTGCCACAACTCCAGCCTGGGTGACAGAGCAAGACTCAATCTCAAAGAAATAAATAAAAATAAAATAAAGAAATATCTACTGCAAATAATACGTTTCATAAAATGCTTAATAAAAACTTTCAATACCACCATGAAAGCAATTAGAACATGAGGGTGTCTGAAGTAGATCATAGTAGTGTGATTACATTCAATATCTTTCTATAAGACGTGATGATACATACAGGGTAAATCATACAAGAAGACCTAAGATTATTATCTCAGAATTTCCTAATTAGAATGGGAATACAATTGTGCAATGAGAGAAATGGACTGAAGACAGAAATAAAAACAAATGTTATGATTTAATATGACAAATTTAAAATTTCCACTTTATTTTCCACCATTTTTAAAGAGCATTCCTTATAGTATTAATTTTAATGCATTTTTAAAAATCAGTAAGACAAGTAGCACATTTCTCTAGTTCAGGACTCCACTTTCAGGGTTACAGTTAAAGATGATCCTAGAAGTGCATTTTAATTGGTCTAGGGTAAGGTCATTAGCTTGATGTTCTAAAATCTACTGAGTTGATTACAATATGTGTCAGTGTCAATAACCACTTTCTTAAACCCAGGTCGCAAAGCACATATACCTATAGAAATGTTGAAAATGGGCCAGGCGCTGTGGGGCTCACACCTGTAATCCCAGCACTCTGGGAGACCCGAGATGGGAGGATCACTTGAGGCCAGGACTTTGTAACCAGCCTGGTCTACACAGCAAGACCCCCATCTCTATAAAAAAATAAAAAATATTTTTAAATGCTGAAAAATGAAATACTAAATTATTTATGAATATATAACTTCAATAAAAGATGAGAAAATACAACTAGGTCATTAGGACAATTTGTATGAAACAATATCCAATTTGCTGTCTGTTACTTCTACCTTATCATGTCTAATTTTTCCTCATCTTTGTGAAATCCTGCATCTACAATAGGCAAAAAAACAAAAAACAAAAGGAATCTTATTCTATTCACAGCCATCAGAAAAATGTGTTACTATTCCTGTAGTCAGTTAGGTTCTAAATCATACATTTGAGATATATCTCAAACATGTCATAAAGAAAATAAGCATCATATTTCTAACTAAATAGCACCTGAAATATTCCATATGAAAGGAAAAATACAAAAAACTAAACTTTTAATTACTAACCTCCTTAAAGGAAAATAATTCTATATGATTTGATATTTCATAATGGATGTCCAATACCTGAGATATAAATTCCATTTTCTGTGTCTTAACATCTCACCTTCAGAAAATCTCCAATATTGGGTTATTTGGATTATATATTTAAAACTGAATATACTTGAAGATGTGAATGATTTGTTGCTGCAACAAATGGTTTAGCAATTATCTGCATTAAAATGTGTTCCATGAACAACAGAAAAAGAATATTTCTACTTCAGTCCTTAAAAATTGTGAAAGCACAGCCACAGTCTTAGTTTGTCGATCTTGAATTCTTCTGGTATTTTAATTTCACCAATAATTCTGGAACTGCTGTTTTTGTATTTCTCAAAATGTTTTGTCTTGCATCGTGCAATAAGGCAGCCACCATCATATGTGACCACCGAGCACTTCTAATGCAGCTAGCCAGAACTGATGTTTTAAGTATAAAGCATCTTGTTCACTTTTATACTAAATGCTGAAATATTGTTTTGAATATACCAGGTTAAATAAAATATATTAAAATTTATTTCACCTTTTTTTTTAAGTGTAACTACTAGAAAATTTAAAATTACACATATGGTCTGCATCATATTTCTATTAGACAGCACTGGCTCACCGTTCTACTGGTTGGCTAGCTTGTACCTCCAGATAACATCTGATAATCCAATCACTAGCTATCACAAACTAGATCTTTCAGATGTTTCCTATTAAAATGTTTGTTTAATTTTGAAGTGAATTCCTAGAAAAGCTCATATAATACTATTATAGAAAATCATTAAAATCAACTTAATAATTTGCCCACCATGAAACAGAACTTAAGGTAAATCTACATTTCTTTGGTTAGTATTTACTGTACTGGTAAAGACCAAAGAATTGGTAATGTTCAACAAAATATGAAAATGCCAGTGACTTTAACAAAAAAATAGCTGGAAACCAAAGAATCTTGCTTACATCACAATCACAGCTAGGAAAATGCAGCTTATTTTACAGCCGGTCCCCGATGTGAAGAATATGTAGAAACAACAGTAAATAAAAAAGGAAGTATAATACGGAAATGCCTAATATCAAAGAAATTCATGTAACAGAATACTGAACTTCAGTATTTCTAATATACGTATATACACATTCCTGCTAACTGTAGAATATTTCCTGCAAGTTATGGTCCCAGTGCCTCACCAATGGAAGATCTATCTTGAACTATTCAATTCATACTCTCCCTAATAACAGCACTATATTAGCAGGTTCATCATCAAGTGAAGGCTGTTTGCTAGATAACTAAAACCAAGATTGGAAAACTAAAAAGCTGGAGGGAGGGAAAACACAGCCTACAAAATGCTTACAAGATTAGCAGCAATTGATGAAGTAGTAACAAGAGGGGCAGAAAAACAGAAAGATTATCATCGGATTTGGGAATTCAAAGGCAGCTCAACAAAATACTAGGACATGGCTCATATAAGATGGAATAAGCCTGGAAATACACCCCCCTCCCCAATATTTCAGAACATAAAGTCTACAGAAAGAGAGTCCTAATGTATTGAACCTGGTTTCTCAATTGAAACAAAAGTCTTCAAGGAAGGAGAGATATGCAAAATTTAACAGGAATATATATGAAGCAGTATCTTTAAAGAATGTAAATATATCAACCAAAAGTAAACTTGAGATTCAAATTTCCATTGCTAAAGTATTTTCAGTTAGAATGACATAATTATTATATAACTACTCAAAACAAAACAAAACTTACTGGAAAAAAGAACAACTGGTTTGAGAAGAAAAACTTTTCATGGTAGAGCAGAAATAACTGTCAAAGAGAAAATACTTAGAAAAAGTCATATATAAAGAGTGGCCTAGTTTTACTGCACACGTCTTTGCCATGCAGAAACAGCTAAATCCCATCTGACAACTACTTTCCCTTTCGTGTACCTTGTCTTTAGAGAATAAAATATATCTGGGTTTGATATAGAGGAGACTAATTTTCACATTAAAAATGATTTTCTTAAAAGCCTGGCCTTACAGTTTAAAAATTATACGATTAAAATCAAGATATTATTCCTATAAAAAGCCAAACTTTAATCCATTTAAATCATGAAACTTAAAACTTCACTTGAAGCAATTTCAATCATGAAACTTAAAACTCCAAATTACTATTGTGAATTAACACTTCTCCACTATTTATCTTGCAATTTTAAAAAACACTTCAGAAAGTAGCAAATTTGTAAAACAATAAATAATTTGTACCTATAGTATCCTCATTTTGCCATGCAGTTTTACTTAAATCTCACTTAGAAATGGAACTCATTCTTAAAGGGTAGAATGTACATGATGTAAAGCAGACACAGGAAGATTTATCTTTACTTACTGAGAATCAATAGTACAATTCTAAGATTTTTTCCATGAAACTACTGAAATAAGTCCTACTTGAAAAAAGAAATCCCACAAGAGTTAGCAATTAATAAAAACACCAAAATGAGAAATTCCCCAGCATGGAAAATTCCTGTCATAAATGTTGATGTTTATCCAGTTAAAAATATATACAATGAATAATATCAATAAATAAATATATTAGAAGGAAATAATAGATGTTAGTTACTGTACACCCAAACCTATACTGTATTTTAGGCTCTATATTTACTGCAGCACAGAACTAAAAGAATTTTAAAGCTCTTTCTATTAGAAACTATTATCAATAGGTTGCATCTTTATGGCCCAGCTGAGTTGAAATTCCAAATAAGATCCCTTCAAATTTAATAAATGGCATTCTTCATTAACAGCATTTAAAAAATAATGGCTGAAACATATAATCAACATTACACTGAAGTTCTATCTGAAGACAGAAAAAGTTGCCATCCACACCAAAGCTACACATATACCTTCTGATTTTATAGAATTGTTCCAATATCTTTTCTGTCAATATCATTAAAATCACCCTACCTGTTTGGACCGAGGTCTACTAGGAGAAAATTTTCTCTTAGTAATAGCTGGTTTACCCATGCCAATTTTTGGAGTGACTGAGATGTAAGTTGTTGGCATGATGTTTCCAGCAGAGGAACTAAGAGCTGAAGGGTAATTATGCAGCATGTCATGTGAAGGCAAGTCTGAAGAAGGTGTTGGTGAGGAAGACACATCTGCCTTGCTTATGTCTGCTGATAATGAAAATGATGACTCTGTCTCAGATGATAACTTTATAGATTTGCCTCCTTAGTATGAAACATCTTTCACACAACCCTCAATTGTAGGAGTCATTTCAGAGTCCATCAATCCAGTAGAAAGTTCATAATCTTCTTTCTGTTCCTTTTCTCCTTGTAGCCTTTCTATAACCAACTGTTCCTCAGGACATAATGAAGTGCTTTCCTCATGTGGGGACACTAAGGTTTCTAGTGGAAGAGTGACAGATTCAATGACAAATTTTGGAGGCCTTGATTCTTCTTTGGATACCACTGTTTTAGGTTCCTCTAACAACTGCAGTTGCTCTTGCTGCACAGTGATCTGGTGTGTAACGACTTCAATGTTTTCTGTCACTTCCATTTTATCTTCAATTTGATCTTCGCCACAAATATGCTTCACTTCAGAAGACATTTTCATTTCTTCACTATCAGTCTCATTAGAAATCTGTTTTTCCAATTCGGTATTCACTGTATGTTGGGATGATATTACAAAATTCAGAACATTTGTTATGGTAATGTACAAACAAATTTTAAATTTTCTAACTATAGATATATAAAACATTTGGCTACACTAGAACTTAAATCAGAAGGTATTCATCAAAGCAGACAATTATTAAGTGAATGAAAGCCAAAGTACACAAGGATTTATGGATTAGAATCAGCCACACACCAGAAAACCTAATGAAAACATGTTTTACAACACAAGTACTTCCAAATGGATTGAAAATTACACAGGAAAAGTTCTCATACTCATTTTTTAGTTAAGAAAATGAGGATCAATCATGTTATGTGAGGTACCTAAGTTAAAAAGTAAAGACTGATCTAGAATGTGTAGGCATTTTCTAATAGTAGATACCCAGATGCGACAAAGTTACTATAGACTCAAAAGCACAGACAGAAAAGATTTGCTAACCACCAATATTTATTTTGCTTAACCATACCTGCCAACCTAGCCAAAATATTCTTTGGATATAATCGTTGTTCTTCATCATTGTCTGTAAATTAAAAGACTAATCTCAGGAAATCTATAAACTTAGATATCAGAAACATAGTCACTGGTAAATTTTAAATCAGGATACCAGTATGTTAAACCTTTAACTCAATCTCATCAAGGTAATTTTTAAGTTATAGTAAAAAGACACTGCTAGCCTCATTTACAAATCAGTGACTAAAATTTATCTATTTATCTATGTTCTTTTTTTTTTTTGAAACAGGATCTCACTCTGTGACCCAAGCTGGAGTGCAGTAGCACAAACATGGCTCACTGCAGCCTCAACCTCCTGGGCTCAAGTGGTCCTCCCACCTCAGCCTCCGAAACTGCTGGGACTGCAGGCATGTGTCACCATGCCCAGATACTTTTTTTGTTTTTGTAGAGATAGGGTCTCACTATATTGCCCAGGCCTATACATGTTCTGATACCAAACTGATACCAAACTGAAATCTCATCTTCTTTCCCACTTTATTGAAAGACTACAGGTAAGGATAAATGAAAACTACCAAATAACAGATCTGATGGTACAAAATATTTTTAATCATGATATCCCCCTCCAAAAAAAAAAAAAGGCTTTCAAGAGAAACTAACATACTTTAGATCCATTGTCAATTCTTTTCCAGAATCTCTTAACTAAAAGATGTAGTTACTGTAATGTATATACATACAGCAATTGCAAAAATGTCTTTGGGATAAAGACATTATCTTATAACTCAATCAAATTAGACAATATGAACATACTGCTTACCAGCAATGAGAAGACTATCTGTGTCCTCTATACCCTCAGTGTAGGGAAAAGCTTTCTGAATATGACTCAAAAATCCAGAAGCAAAAGAAGATTAATAAATCTAACTCCACAAAAAGAAACTTTTGCATGGCAAAAAAAAAAATAATAAAAACAAAGTCAAAAGACACATAATACAGCCTGGATAACATGGTGAGACCCTGTCTCTACAAAAGTAAAAAATTAGCTGGGCTTCGTGGTACACATAACTCCTAGCTAACTCGGGAGGCTGAGGCAGGAAGATTGCTTGAGCCCAGGTCAAGGCTACAGTGAACTATGACCATACCAATGTACTATGGCCGGGGTGACAGGGTGAGACACTGTCTCACACAAATAAGCAAAAAAAAAAAAAAAAAAAAAAAAAAAAAAAGCTAGCAGAAAGTATCTGCATCATGTAACACATATAAAGGCTTACATCCCTAACTTATAAAGAACTCTTAAATTTAGGGAAAAATGCCAAAATCTTCAATAACAGGCAAAACACATGAACAGACAATTCATGAGAAGAAATAAAAACTGACCCTTAAACACATGAAAAAACGATCGACTTCACTCTTAGGATAAACAAAAATTAAAACTACATTGATACACTACTTTTAACCCAGAAGACAGACAAACATTCAAAAGCTAAACAAGTCATCCTGTTAGCAAAGACGTAGGAAAAGTTCTCTCACACATCTCTGGTGGCAATGCAAAGTACCATAAGCCCCAAAAAAGGGAATTTCACAGTATCTAACAAAGCTACATATGTGTACACTCCTGAGGCAATAATCCTAGGAATTTACCCTACAGATTTGTCCCTGAGAATTCAAAAACACACATGCACAAAGCCAGGGAGTGTAAAATCATTTATAATGCAAAATATCATAAACTACTGAAATACCAAAGCACAGGCCACTGGTTAAGTAACCGATAGCACAGATACACAATGGAGTGCTATGCAGCTGTTTAAAAGGAGAATGAGATCTCTTGAACTTGCCTAACTTGCCTGGAAGTGATTTCCAGATTTTATTACATGAAAAAAGCAACATGCAAAAGAACATATACAACATGCTACCTTCACTGAAAGAGCAATATATCCTCTTATTCTTAGATGAAAAATAACAGGAGGTTTAAAACAGAAAACAATGAAGTTAGTTACTTCCAAGAGGCTGGGGGAAATGCGGTATAAGTAATAAACAAGAGACAGTGACAATTCTGAGCAAAATTTCATATAGTTTTGAAAGTATACTAATACCTTCTATATTTAAAAAATTAAATCACTAAGAAAAAGGGGAATAAAATCTATTACTGAGAGCAAACTGAAGCAGACTTGCTTTTTAGATTGAGCAACTGAATAAATGTGCTGTTCTACAACCCAGTATTTTTATTGTAGAAGAACAGACATGCAAGAATGAAAAGGCAAATAACTCAGTGGAGAAGGATAAGAACTGGAGGTGCTGGTATAAATTCATTATTTCTAAGTTATGTATATGTATATGAATATTTATGTATATATACATAACGTGTAGGGGTGTTCAATCTTTTGGCTTTCCTGGACCACATTGAAAGAAGAATCGTCTTGGGCCACACACAAGATACATTAACAGTAATGACAGCTGATGAGCTACACACACACACACACACACACACACACACAAAAAAAAAAAAAAAAAAAATAACACCTCATAATGTTTTAAGAAATTTTATGAATTTCTGTTGGGCCACATTCAAAGCCATCCTGGACCACATGTAGCCTGTGGGCCATGGGTTGGACAAACTTCTGTAAGTGTATACACATGCATGTATTTCGTGACACCACCTGCTGAAAGGGTGAAGAAGTAAACACCCTCCAGTAGCAATGAGCACACCCAGCACCCATTCCCCACTAAAGGAATCTGGGTTACTTATTTAACAATGGACTTATTCCAGGACTGGGGCATGGGAGGTATAAGATGAGCTTGTAACATCTTGTTACACCAAAAAGTATGAAGTGTTCAAAAAAGCGGTGAGGGCAGAACACCAGTGCCAGCTTGAAGGAGCAACTGACAGCAAGTATGTGACTATTTGAGCCAAAAAATAATTAGGTAATGAGTTGTAAATGATTGAAGATAATAGGAGTTCATGAGTCAATATTAATAGTAAGTAAGCTTAACATGTGAAAGAAGTGTTCTTGCTTACAAAAGAAAGCAGAGGGCTAACTGGTAAATGTGGTGGGAGTGCTAGAGCTGGAAATACATCATTTGCAACCAAAAGAAAGCATGTTAAAATGGCATCATCAGGCAGTAAGTTTGTTGTTGTTGTTGCTGTTGTTGTTGTTGTTGCTGTTTTTTGAGATAGAGTCTATCTCTGTCACCCAGGCTGGAGTGTAGTAGCATGAGTCCAACTCACTGCAACCTCACCTCCTGGGTTCAAGCGATTCTCCGGTCTCAGCATCCTGAGTAGCTGGGATTACATGGCACCCGCTACCATGCCTGGCTAATTTTTGTATTTTTAGTACAGACAGGGTTTCACCCTGTTGGCCAGGCTGATCTCGAACTCCTGACCTCAAGTGATCCACCCACTTCAGCCTCCCAAAGTGCTGGGATTACAGGTGTGAGCCACCACACCCGGCCTAGGGAGTAAGTTTTTCAAATCTAGAAGGAAATTCTGAGGAAAAGCAAGATATTTGCATGGTCTTAAAGTATCCTCACATACTGCTTTATTAGATACAAAGGAGGGGGGAATAGAAATTGGGCAACAGCCTGACCAGGTGATTCTCATGAGGGAAAGTGGAATAATATGTGCTTCCAGTTGTGATACCCTGAGGATGGATCAGCATTTTGCAGTATTCTGGTCAATAATGCATGCCTCTCATCTAATTATAAGGGGTTATCAAAAACAAAATGGGGAAATTTCTGTTTGAAAAAAGAAAAAAACAAGTATATCGAGAAGAACTCTATTCTTCAAAAATACCAATGACAAAAACTAAATCCTAGAACCTACTTGGAGGAAGGGGTAGATTATGAAGGACTGAAGATCAAATGACATAACTGTAATATGGCTGGTACATTAGATAAACATACGGCATTGATGTAAGTTTAGGAATTTGATAGCAGGATTGTGATTTTTAAAGAATATTCCTACTATTAAGAAATACATACTGAAATGGTGGTAAAAAGGCACAATGTATGTAATTAATCCTCAAATAGTAGGGGTTTGGGGGAATAGAGACACACAGACACACACACATACACACACACACACACACACACACAGAGAAAGTGAGAGAGGGCATGCCCAATGATAATGAAATGCTAACAACAGATATATCTAAGTAAATGGGATATGGGTATTATTTTTATTTTTTCCAACTTTTAGAGTTTGAACATATTTTCAAGTAAAAACTTTCTAAAAATGCATAACATACCAAAGAACAGACATTCTTGAGATAAAAATAGGAAAAAGAAACCTATCTGACAATGACTGGTTTACAATAAAGATCCTGAAAAGATCAACCCCACTCCAGCTCACCAGGGAGCAGCCCCAAACTAGACTGACAGCCCCGTGGGGGCACACTGATTTGCCCCAACATCTCCAGCCTTCACTACAGTGGTGTTCGCACACAGTAAACACTCAAATGTTAAATGCAAACAAATGAGCAAATTATGACTCAAGACTACAGAGAGAACTACAGAAGAATTCAACAGCAGAGAAAGATGATCATTCTTCAAATGGTTCAAAGGACAAACCTTTCAATCCATGAAAAACTCTATGGTAACTGTTTCTGTACTTACTTTGTGTTAGGCATTGTGCTGGGCACTTTATAGATACCACTTCATTAAATCCAACATCCCTGTGAGGTAAGTACCGTTAACCTTCTATACACTGACTTAGGGAAGTTAAACAGGTAGCCAAAGATCATCAATTTAGTAACTGAAAAAACTGCAGTTTGACTCCACAGCATAACCTTTAACCACCACACTATAGTGCCTTCATAGAACAGAATAAAAAGATTAAGTATCCAATAGTATTCCCAGAAATTATGTAATCCTGTCACTCTCAAAAGAGAATAGCAGATTACAAAGAGCAAATCGAAAAGAAGCACACCAAAGGGGAGACAGAACAAGCTGAGAAAGACACCCAGAATTC
>NT_187503.1:0-93321 GCF_000001405.40 Homo sapiens
GATCCTTTGGAGGAGAAGAGGCGTTCTGGTTTTTGGAATTTTCAGCCTTTTTGCTCTGGTTTCTCTCCATCTTCATGGATTTATCTACCTGTGGTTTCTGATGTTGGTGACCTTCTGATGGGGTCACTGAGTGGCTGTCCTTTTTGTTGATGTTGATGCTATTCCTTTTTGTTTGTTAGTTTTCCTTCTAACAGTCAGGCCCCTCTGCTGCAGGTCTGTTGGGGTTTGCCCTAGGTCTACTCTAGACCCTGTTTGCCTGGGTATCACCAGCAGAGGCTGGAGAACAGCCAAGATTGCTGCCTGTTTCTTCCTCTGGAAGTTTTGTCCCAGAGGGGCACCCACCAGATGCCAGCCAGAGCTCTCCTGTATGAGGTGCCTGTTGGCACCTACTGGGAGGTGTCTCCCAGTCAGGATACACGGGGGTCAGGGACCCACTTGAGGAGGCAGTCTGACCCTTATCAGAGCTCGAATACTGTGCTGGGAGATCTGCTGCTCTCTTCAGAGCCATCAGGCTTTTCAAAGATGCTTTAAGTCTGCTGAAGCTGTGCCCACAGCCGCCCTTTCCCCTAGGTGCTCTGTTCCAGGGAGATGGGGGTTTTATCTATAGGTCTCTGACTGGGGCTGCTGCCCTTTTTTCAGAGATGCCTTGCCCAGAGAGGAGAAATCTAGAGAGGCAGTCTGGCTGCTGTGGCCTTGCTGAGTTGTGGTGGGCTCCACCCAGTTCAAACTTTCTGGTGGCTTTGTTTACACAGTGGGGGTAAAACTGCCTACTCAAGCCTTGGCAATGTGGAAGCCCCTCCCCCCACCAAGCTCTAGTGTCCTAGGTCAACCTCAGACTGCTGTGCAAGAATTTCAAGCCAGTGGATCTTAGCTTGCTGGGCTCTGTAGGGGTGGGACCCGCCGAGCCAGACCACTTGGCTCCCTGGCTTCAGCCCCCTTTCCAGGAGAGAGAATGGTTCTGTCTTGTTGGCATTCCAGTTGCCACTGTGGCATAAAAAAAAAAAACCTCCTGCAGCTAGCTCGGTGTCTGCCCAAACAGCTGCCTAGTTTTGTGCTTGAAACCTAGGGCCTTGGTGGCAGAGGCACTGGAGGGAATCTCCTGGTCTGTGGATTGTGAAGACCATGAGAAAAGCATAGTTTCTGGGTGGAGTGCACCGTTCCTCATGGTACAGTCCCTCGGGGCTTCCCTTGGCTAGGGGAGGGAATTCCCCCAACCCCTTGCACTTCTTGGGTGAGGCAACGCCCCATTCTGCTTTGGCTCACCCTCCGTGGGCTGCACCCACTGTCCAACCAGTCCCAGTGAGATGAACCAGGTACCTCAGTTGGAAATGCAGAAATCACCTGCATTCTGCATTGATCTCACTGGGAGCTGCAGACTGGAGCTGTTCCTATTTGGCCATGTTGCCAGCAAATTCTGAGATTTTTTTCAAAAGTGCAAAGAAAGACATCTGAGGGGTGCTGACATATTCGGGTCACCTCAAGCCACATGCCAGCTTGCTTGCCCCTGTTGGATTCAGCAGAGGGAGATAGGCCTTGCCATACCTGTGGTGTCTGCCAAAGCTTCCTCCTGGCAATTCTTGGGAGTGCTGATACCTGGGCCACAGTTAGTCCAAGTTTATCACTGAAGATCCTATCAAAGTTTTGTCTGAAATTCCACTTTTGCCTTTTGTCCTAAGTGGTTGTGGACATCTCCAGGGGCTGATACCAAGGACTAGGAACAGCTGAGAGAGGCAGAAAGGTTCAGAGTACATCTCTATTTACAGGGAACAGAACACCGGCCTCCGAGAGTCCATGGAGCAATGGGAAAATTGCAGTGATTACTCATCACTGTGAAACTTCTACTTTGAATACAGTATCTTCTGGCAAGCATAGGGGACTGCAGTCGACAATGCTGCTGAATATACCTGAGTACATAGTAAGACATTTGTTTGGTAAACAGTCAATGCATACAATAAATTACCTTGAGAGGGCCATCTGTGCTCCAGATGTGAGAGTTCATGTGAATAGAATGGCTGCAATTCAAAGAATCTTCACAGGAAAACAGGGCTCAGAGCTCATCCACAATGGACAGACAGGGAGGGAAACAGGTGGAGGTTAGTTCACCACTTCCTCATAAGAAGGTAATAAATAGTTTGGTGAAATAAAATGGTAGCACTGAGTAATTGCGGGCTTCTGGATAGGCAGTCAGGTTGATTTCATGTTGCTACTGCTGGACTTGAGGGCTGGCTTGGCTGTGGTGGCAGACACAGCAGCAGCTCAGGATGATGGTGATGGTCCATGCCAGCCAGAACCACCAATGTTCATAGTAGTAGTTACAACACTGAGACTGCCCATAGCAGTGTCCTGTTGTGTCACAGATGTAGCTTTGATTGTTGGTACACACACAGGCTTCCTTATCCTGTGGGGGTTCAGCCCTGGCTGACACAGGGCTGGGCAGTGCCTAGAGGTGCAAGAGCTCCATGCCACCCAGGAGTCTTCCCTCCATACTCCTCCTGCTCCTCCGACCCAGCGTGGGCACCTCCCTCCACCCTTGCTGCACTTCTCCTCTACCCTCTTCTTCCTTCTTTTGTTCTTTTCCTGTAATATGTTTTGAAGTCAGATTGTGAGGCCTTCAGCTTTGTTCTTATTGCTCAAGAGTCCTTTAGTTATTCAGGATCCTTTGTGGTTCCATATAAATTTTCAAATTGTTTTTTCTATTTCTGTGAAGAATGACATTGAAATTTTGATAAATATTGCATTAAACCTATAAATCGCTTTGGGCAGTAAGGACATTTTAAGAATATTAATTCTTCCTACCCATGAACATAAAATATCTTTCCATGTATTTGTGTCATCTACAATTTTTCATCAATGTTTTATAGTGTTCAGAATACAGATCTTTCACCTCCTTGGTTAAATGTACTCCTAAGTACTATCCTAAATGTGCTCCTAAACAAAAAAAATACGTTTTTTTTGATGCTACTGTGAATGAGATTGATTTCTTTATTTTTGTCATATAGTTTGTTGTGAGTGTAAAGAAACTACTGAGTTTTGTACATTGATTTTGAATTCTGAAATTTTATTGAATTCATTTATCATTTCTAATAGCTTTTTGGTGGAGTTTTTAGGGTTTCCTATATATAATATGTCATCAAACAGAGACAATTTTACTTCTTCCTTTTCAATTTGAATATTTTATTTCTTTATTTGGCTTAATTGCTCTGGCTAGGACTTCCAGAAATAAGTTGAATAGAAGTAGTGAGAATAAATATCCTTGTCTTGTTTTTGATCTTAGCAGAAAAGATTTCACTTTTTCATTGTTGGGTATGATGTGAGCTGTGAGCTTGTTATATATGTCCTGTTTTGTGTTAAGGTACATGCCTTCTATGCCCAATTTGTTGAGAGGTTTAGTCATGAGAGGATTTTGAATTTAGTCAAATGCTTTTTCTGCATATATAGAGATAGCTATTTTTTTATCCTTCATTCTGTTAATGTGGTTTATCACATTTGATTTGTGTTTGCTGAAACATCTGGAGGATAAATCCACTTTATCATGGTAAATGTTCTCCTAATATGTTGTTAAATTCTGTTTGCTAGTACTTTTTTTTGAGGACTTTTGTATCTGTGTTCATCAGGGATATTGGTTGGCCCATACTTTTCTTATAGTGTCCTTGTTTGCCTTTTTATTTTTATTTTTATTTATTTATTTTTTAAATTATACTTTAAGTTTTAGGATACATGTGCACAACGTACAGGTTAGTTACATATGTATACATGTGCCATGCTGGTGTGCTGCACCCATTAACTCATCATTTAACATTAGGTATATCTCCTAATGCTATCCCTCCCCCCTCCCCCCACCCCACAACAGGCCCCAGTGCTAATATCCGGAATCTACAATGAACCCAAACAAATTTACAAGAAAAAAACAAACAACCCCATCAAAAAGTGGGCAAAGGATATGAACAGACACTTCTCAAAAGAAGACATTTATGCAGCCAAAAAACACATGAAAAAATGCTCACTATCACTGGCCATCAGAGAAATGCAAATCAAAACCACAATGAGATACCATCTTACACCAGTTAGAATGGCCATCATTAAAAAGTCAGGAAACAACAGGTGCTGGAGAGGATGTGGAGAAATAGGAACATTTTTACACTGTTGGTGGGACTGTAAACTAGTTCAACCATTGTGGAAGACAGTGTGGTGATTCCGCAGGGATCTAGAACTAGAAATACCATTTGACCCAGCCATCCCATTACTGGGTATATACCCAAAGGACTATAAATCATGCTGCTATAAAGACACATGCACACGTATGTTTACTGTGGCACTATTCACAATAGCAAAGACTTGGAACCAATCCAAATGTCCAACAATGATAGACTGGATTAAGAAAACGTGGCACATATACACCATGGAATACTATGCAGCCATAAAAAATGATGAGTTCATGTCCTTTGTAGGGACATGGATGAAGCTGGAAACCATCATTCTCAGCAAACAATCACAAGGACAAAAAACCAAACACCGCATGTTCTCACTCATAGGTGGGAATTGGACAATGAGAACACATGGACACAGGAAGGGGAACATCACTTTAAAAAAAAACAATAATGCTGATCTTTTAAAATGAGTTTGGAAATACTCTTTCTCCTTCAAGTTTTTGGAAGAATTTCAGAAGGATTGTATTATTATTTTTTAAAATGTTAGAATTCAGCAATGAAGTTTTCTGGTCCTGGGATGTTCTTTGATGGGAGATGTTTTATTATTGATATACTCTCCATACTCAGTATTGTTCTGTTCAGATTTTATCTTTCTTCTTGACTTTCTCTAGGTAAGTTGCATTTTTCTAGAAATTTATCTGCTTTTTCTAGGTTATCCAATTTGTTGGCTTGTAATTGTTTATAGTGGCCCCTTATGATCCTCTGTATTTCTGTGGTATTAGTTGCAATATTTCCTCTTTCATTTCTGATTTTATTGCTTTGAGTATTCTCTCATTTTTCTAGTCTAGCTAATGGTTTGTCAGTTTTATCTTTTCAAAGAACAAATTCTTAGTTTCATTGATCTGTTCTATTTTCTTTCACAGTCTTTTTTGTATTTGAAGGACTTGTATTTGTTAACTGGCTCAAGCCTGGACATTTGTTGAGGTGCTATGAGTCTCTATTGCTCTCATTTCTCTTCACTAGACATAGAAATTTTCTGATTACACGAATCAAATAAGACTAATAAGCTTCCCAGGGATGAATCCCACTTAAGCATGGTGAATTTTTTTGCTGTGTTTTTTTAAAAATAATATTTGCTAATATTTGGCTGAAGGTTTTTCCATCCAAGTTCATCAGGAGTATTGGTCTGCAATTTATTTTTATTATAGTGTCCTTCTCTGGTTTTGGTATCAGGGTAATGCTGGTTTTGAAAAATGAATTTGGAAGTATTCCTCTTCTTCATTTTTTTTGGAAGAGTTTGGGAAGGATTGGTGTTAATCATCTAAGTGTTTGTTGGAATTCAGCCACCAAGCCATTCAATCCTGGGTCTTTCTTTTATGAGAGACCTTTCATTGGTGATTTAATTTCCTTATTCATGATTTCTTCTAAATTTTGAATTCTTCATGATTCAGTTTTGGTACGAGTTTATCAATTTCTTCTAGGTTATCTAATTTGCTGGTGAATAATTGTTTATAGTAGTATGTTATGATTTTTTAACTTCTGTGGTATCAGTTGTAATGTCTCTTCTTTCACTTATGAGTTTGTTTTCTTTTTTCTTAGTCTATGTAAGAATTTGTTAATTTTGTTTATCTTTTCAAAAAACAATTCTTATTTTTATTGAAATTTTCAGTTTCTATTATATTATTTCTGCTCTGATCTTTGTTATTTGTTTCCTTCTGCTATCTTTGGGCTTGTATTGTTCTCTAATTTTCTCGCTCCTTTAGGCATAATATTAGGTTGCTTATTTGAGATCTTTTTTTTCTTTTTTGATGTAGGCATTTATTGCTATAAATGTCCCTCTTATAACTGCTTTTGTTGCATCCCATATGTTTTAGTATGTTATGTTTCCATTTTCATGCTACCTGATTTTAGAATATATTTCAAAGCATGGGGTATAGTGCTTTTAAAAAGAGGCTATATATAGGTATATATAAAAACAATACACACATTATATATAAACTATGACATGCTTGTAAAGAAAAGAGAACATAAAGTTTCTGAGGAAATAATTAGAAGAACAAGAGGATGCAAAGGGGTCTGTCAAAGATTCAGTGAAATGAGGGTTTTTGGATATTCACAGCTAATAGATTAATGCATTAGGAATGAGCAAAAAAATTGATGGTAGTCAAACAGAGGGAGGGAGGTAGATTTTGAATGATTCAAAGCAGGAGTGTTTTGAAGGTAAACAGAATAACTAAAAAGAAAGACTCAGATGAAAAGCCTAGATTTAAAGCATTTGAATCAAGAGGTGGTAATCTAGGAATTAGGTTGATTTCTTTTTTTTTAAATTTGTGTAGCTTTTTATTTTATTTTTTATTATACTTTAAGTTTTAGGGTACATGTGCACAAAGTGCAGGTTTGTTACATATGTATACATGTGCCATGTTGGTGTGCTGCACCCAGAAGACTGGTTAATTTCAATAACCTAAAAATCCACAAGGTGGGAGTGTTTCACTGAAGCCAGTTGTTAGAGAAACGTTAGAACCAACTTCCTTTTTTTCTCTGTCCCTTCTTCTCTGCTTTCTTCTTTTCTCCTCCTCCTCCTCCCTTTACTCTCCTTCTTCTCTCTCTGTTTTTCTAATCATGAAAACAAACGAAAAAAACTATGAGCAAGAGCACAGAAAAAAGACTAGCAAAGACTGCAGTTATTGAAAGTATCAGATACAGAAAATAAAATAAAATAACTATATTTAGTATGTTTAAAGTAAAACAAAAAATTAAAAATATCATAATGGAACAGGAAACTCTAGAGAATGGCCAAGAAGATTAAAAGAAAACAAATAGAATGTCCATAGAGAATAACATAATTGAAATTTAAACCCAAATGAATGGTTTTAACAGAATATTAGTATGTTAGAAGCAGTTGAAGAGTGAACTAGTAAACTGTAATATAGGTCAGAAGGGGCTATCCAAAATGAACACAGGAATAAAGACATGGAAAATAAGAAACATGTAGTTAGGAGACATGGAAGACAGAGGGGGAAATGCTAAAAAGTTTTAAAGAGTGTTTCAGAAGGAGAGAAAGGAGATCATGAATCAGTGTATATATTTTTTAAATTTTATTTTATGTTCTGGGATACACGTGCAGAAAGTGTAGGTTTGATACATAGGTAAATCTGTGCCATGGTGGTTTGCTGCACCCATCAACCCATCACCTAGGTATGAGGCCCTGCATGCATTAGCTATTTGTCCTGATGGTCTCCTACCCCCTGTCCCCCTGAGAGGCCCTGGTGTGTGTTGTTCCCCTCCATGTACCCACGTGTTTGTCCTGATGGTCTCCTACCCCCTGTCCCCCTGAGAGGCCCTGGTGTGTGTTGTTCCCCTCCATGTACCCACGTGTTTGTCCTGATGGTCTCCTACCCCCTGTCCCCCTGAGAGGCCCTGGTGTGTGTTGTTCCCCTCCATGTACCCACGTGTTTGTCCTGATGGTCTCCTACCCCCTGTCCCGCTGAGAGGCCCTGGTGTGTGTTGTTCCCCTCCATGCATCCACGTGTTTGTCCTGATGGTCTCCTACCCCCTGTCCCCCTGAGAGGCCCTGGTGTGTGTTGTTCCCCTCCATGTATCCACGTGTTTGTCCTGATGGTCTCCTACCCCCTGTCCCCCTGAGAGGCCCTGGTGTGTGTTGTTCCCCTCCATGTACCCACGTGTTTGTCCTCATGGTCTCCTACCCCCTGTCCCCCTGAGAGGCCCTGGTGTGTGTTGTTCCCGTCCATGTATCCACGTGTTTGTCCTGATGGTCTCCTACCCCCTGTCCCCCTGAGAGGCCCTGGTGTGTGTTGTTCCCCTCCATGTATCCACGTGTTTGTCCTGATGGTCTCCTACCCCCTGTCCCGCTGAGAGGCCCTGGTGTGTGTTGTTCCCCTCCATGTATCCACGTGTTTGTCCTGATGGTCTCCTACCCCCTGTCCCCCTGAGAGGCCCTGGTGTGTGTTGTTCCCCTCCATGTACCCACGTGTTTGTCCTGATGGTCTCCTACCCCCTGTCCCGCTGAGAGGCCCTGGTGTGTGTTGTTCCCCTCCATGTACCCACGTGTTTGTCCTGATGGTCTCCTACCCCCTGTCCCCCTGAGAGGCCCTGGTGTGTGTTGTTCCCCTCCATGTATCCACGTGTTTGTCCTGATGGTCTCCTACCCCCTGTCCCCCTGAGAGGCCCTGGTGTGTGTTGTTCCCCTCCATGTACCCACGTGTTTGTCCTGATGGTCTCCTACCCCCTGTCCCGCTGAGAGGCCCTGGTGTGTGTTGTTCCCCTCCATGTATCCACGTGTTTGTCCTGATGGTCTCCTACCCCCTGTCCCCCTGAGAGGCCCTGGTGTGTGTTGTTCCCCTCCATGTATCCACGTGTGTGTCTTGATGGTCTCCTACCCCCTGTCCCCCTGAGAGGTCCTGGTGTGTGTTGTTCCCCTCCATGTACCCACGTGTTTGTCCTGATGGTCTCCTACCCCCTGTCCCGCTGAGAGGCCCTGGTGTGTGTTGTTCCCCTCCATGTATCCACGTGTTTGTCCTGATGGTCTCCTACCCCCTGTCCCCCTGAGAGGCCCTGGTGTGTGTTGTTCCCCTCCATGTACCCACGTGTTTGTCCTGATGGTCTCCTACCCCCTGTCCCCCTGAGAGGCCCTGGTGTGTGTTGTTCCCCTCCGTGTACCCACGTGTTTGTCCTGATGGTCTCCTACCCCCTGTCCCCCTGAGAGGCCCTGGTGTGTGTTGTTCCCCTCCATGTATCCACGTGTTTGTCCTGATGGTCTCCTACCCCCTGTCCCCCTGAGAGGCCCTGGTGTGTGTTGTTCCCCTCCATGTACCCACGTGTTTGTCCTGATGGTCTCCTACCCCCTGTCCCCCTGAGAGGCCCTGGTGTGTGTTGTTCCCCTCCATGTACCCACGTGTTTGTCCTGATGGTCTCCTACCCCCTGTCCCCCTGAGAGGCCCTGGTGTGTGTTGTTCCCCTCCATGTACCCACGTGTTTGTCCTGATGGTCTCCTACCCCCTGTCCCCCTGAGAGGCCCTGGTGTGTGTTGTTCCCCTCCATGTATCCACGTGTTTGTCTTGATGGTCTCCTACCCCCTGTCCCCCTGAGAGGCCCTGGTGTGTGTTGTTCCCCTCCATGTACCCACGTGTTTGTCCTGATGGTCTCCTACCCCCTGTCCCCCTGAGAGGCCCTGGTGTGTGTTGTTCCCCTCCATGTATCCACGTGTTTGTCCTGATGGTCTCCTACCCCCTGTCCCGCTGAGAGGCCCTGGTGTGTGTTGTTCCCCTCCATGTATCCACGTGTTTGTCCTGATGGTCTCCTACCCCCTGTCCCCCTGAGAGGCCCTGGTGTGTGTTGTTCCCCTCCATGTACCCACGTGTTTGTCCTGATGGTCTCCTACCCCCTGTCCCCCTGAGAGGCCCTGGTGTGTGTTGTTCCCCTCCATGTACCCACGTGTTTGTCCTGATGGTCTCCTACCCCCTGTCCCCCTGAGAGGTCCTGGTGTGTGTTGTTCCCCTCCATGTACCCACGTGTTTGTCCTGATGGTCTCCTACCCCCTGTCCCGCTGAGACGCCCTGGTGTGTGTTGTTCCCCTCCATGTATCCACGTGTTTGTCCTGATGGTCTCCTACCCCCTGTCCCCCTGAGAGGCCCTGGTGTGTGTTGTTCCCCTCCATGTACCCACGTGTTTGTCCTGATGGTCTCCTACCCCCTGTCCCGCTGAGACGCCCTGGTGTGTGTTGTTCCCCTCCATGTATCCACGTGTTTGTCCTGATGGTCTCCTACCCCCTGTCCCCCTGAGAGGCCCTGGTGTGTGTTGTTCCCCTCCATGTATCCACGTGTTTGTCCTGATGGTCTCCTACCCCCTGTCCCCCTGAGAGGCCCTGGTGTGTGTTGTTCCCCTCCATGTATCCACGTGTTTGTCCTGATGGTCTCCTACCCCCTGTCCCCCTGAGAGGCCCTGGTGTGTGTTGTTCCCCTCCATGTACCCACGTGTTTGTCCTGATGGTCTCCTACCCCTGTCCCCCTGAGAGGCCCTGGTGTGTGTTGTTCCCCTCCATGTATCCACGTGTTTGTCCTGATGGTCTCCTACCCCCTGTCCCCCTGAGAGGCCCTGGTGTGTGTTGTTCCCCTCCATGTACCCACGTGTTTGTCCTGATGGTCTCCTACCCCCTGTCCCCCTGAGAGGCCCTGGTGTGTGTTGTTCCCCTCCATGTACCCACGTGTTTGTCCTGATGGTCTCCTACCCCCTGTCCCCCTGAGAGGCCCTGGTGTGTGTTGTTCCCCTCCATGTACCCACGTGTTTGTCCTGATGGTCTCCTACCCCCTGTCCCCCTGAGAGGTCCTGGTGTGTGTTGTTCCCCTCCATGTACCCACGTGTTTGTCCTGATGGTCTCCTACCCCCTGTCCCCCTGAGAGGCCCTGGTGTGTGTTGTTCCCCTCCATGTACCCACGTGTTTGTCCTGATGGTCTCCTACCCCCTGTCCCCCTGAGAGGTCCTGGTGTGTGTTGTTCCCCTCCATGTACCCACGTGTTTGTCCTGATGGTCTCCTACCCCCTGTCCCCCTGAGAGGTCCTGGTGTGTGTTGTTCCCCTCCATGTACCCACGTGTTTGTCCTGATGGTCTCCTACCCCTGTCCCCCTGAGAGGCCCTGGTGTGTGTTGTTCCCCTCCATGTATCCACGTGTTTGTCCTGATGGTCTCCTACCCCCTGTCCCCCTGAGAGGCCCTGGTGTGTGTTGTTCCCCTCCATGTACCCACGTGTTTGTCCTGATGGTCTCCTACCCCCTGTCCCCCTGAGAGGTCCTGGTGTGTGTTGTTCCCCTCCATGTACCCACGTGTTTGTCCTGATGGTCTCCTACCCCTGTCCCCCTGAGAGGCCCTGGTGTGTGTTGTTCCCCTCCATGTATCCATGTGTTTGCTCTCATTGTTCAACTCCCTCTTACGACTGAGAACATGTGGTGTTTGGTTTTCTGTTCCTGTGTTAGTTTGCTGAGGGTGATGGCTTCCAGCTTCATCCATGTCCCTGCAAAGAACATGATCTCATTTATTTTAATGGCTGCATAGTATTCCATGGTGAATATATATCACATTTTCTTTATCCAATATATCATTGATGGGCATTTGGGTTGATTCCATGTATTTTCTATCGTAAATAGTGCTGCAATAAACATATGTGTGCATGTATATGTATGTGTGTGTGTATATATATGTAGTTATAATATGTATATATATGTGTATATATATGTGTGTATATATACACATATATATACATTTACATATATAATATCTGTATATATGTATATATATGTGTATATATATGTATGTATATGTATATATATATATTTTTTTGAGATGGAGTTTTGCTCTTGTTGCCCAGGCTGGAGTGCAATGGTATGATCTTGGCTCACTTTGACCTCTGCCTCCTGGGTTCCAGCGATTCTCCTGCCTCAGCCTCCAAAGTAGCTGGTATTACAGGTGTGCACCACTATACCTGGCTAATTTTTGTATTTTTAGTAGAGATGGAGTTTCCCCATGTTGGCTAGGCTGGTCTCAAACTCCTGTCCTCAGGTGATCCACCCGCCTTGGCCTCCCAAAGTGCTGGGATTACAGGTGTGAGCCACTGCACCCAGCCCTGTGCATGTATCTTTATAATAGAATGATTTATATTCCTTTGGGCATATATCCAGTAAAGGGATTGCTGGGGCAAATGGCATTTCTGGTTCTAGATCTTTGAGGAATTTTCACACTGCCTTCCACAGTGAATGAACTAATTTACATTCCCACAAACAGTGTAAAAACATTCCTATTTCTCCACAGCCTTACCAGCAACTGTTGTTTCTGGAGTTTTTGATAATCACCATTAAGACTGGTTTGAGATAGTATCTCATTGTGGTTTTGAGTTGCATTTCTCTAATGATCAGTGATTTGAGCTTTTTTTCATATGTTTGTTGGCCACATCCATGTCTTCTTTTGAGAATTGTCTGTTCATGTCCTTTGGCCAATTTTTGATGGTTTTTTTTTTTCTTGTAAATTTAAGTTCTCCATAGGAGCAGGTGCTCTAATTGCTTGGAGGTCTGCCTATGTGTGGAGATGAGAGGGCCTCACTGCACTATAATCTCAGCACAGGAAGGTTGGGGAAGCTCAGGCTGCTGATCCAGTCAAGTGGGTACTCCACATACCTGGAAATCTGCCTGGCCATAGACTGGAGAGGGCCCCACTGCACCACAACCTATGTTTACAAACGGTGGGGTAGCTCAGGATGCTGGTCCAGGTAGACAGGTGCTCCAATGCCTGAATTTCTGCCTGGGGGTGAAGCAGAGAAAGCCCTGCTGTATCACATTCTCAGGGGAACAGGCTGGGGCACCCAGCAATGACACCTGCAGACTGGTTGTAGGTCTCCAAGCTGGCCCTGGCTGCAAGTTTCATCACCTGGGAGAAATTACAGCTGTAGCAGCTTTTCTGTTGCCCCGAGGCTGCGATGGGGGAAAGCACAATTCCAGCACATACTGCTGAGGTGTTTCCCACAATATGGCTGTGAAGGTCCCTACCAAGCCCCAAAGCAGTTGTTCCAATCTTTGGCCTGAGACTAAAATGCCTGTGCAGGCATTCTGCTGGGTCACAAAAAGAAAAAAAAAAGCTGACTTTGCATGCATCCAGATTGAAAATGGCATCTTGCTCTTACTTCCTGGTCTGGGAAAATGTCTGCAGCTGTTCCCAGTGTCTTTGCTTCACAGCATCTCCAAGCCTCTCCCCATGTTGACTCCAGGCCTTGGGAGAAACAAAATGCAACAACTTGGCTGGGGTTGCTCAGATTCACAGTGAAAATGTCAGTTACAGAGGGAGGCTCTCTGCCTCTCTCACATACTAGGACTTCGCTCACTTTTATAAGCTGGTTGCTGTCATGTTGACTGTTTGCTCACATTCTCCTTCTTGGGATCTATGATGTCCTTCATGATTCTGGTGGATTCCCATTTTCCTTCTTGACTTAGAGCTCACAGAGTTGACCTTTGTGCACTCTCTTGCTATTTCTAAGTGGCCGAGGCACACTAAAAGCCTCTAATTTATCATCTTGGGAAAAAAACAAAACAGGGAAGTTTGCTTTTGCAAATTGTTGTTTGTGGGGGTCTGTCCTGCAGACCCCAGCTGCACGAGGGATGAATAATGTACTCAGACACCAATTATTCAGTGAAAGAGCCGCTAGGGGGCTGGGCCGTGCACAGAAAGAGTTCTGGCAGCCACGAGCCCTGACTAGCTAGCCCTGCCAGCATTTATTGAAAAAACATTAAATGACAGGGGCTTTTAGTCAACACAAATAGAGGGTAATTAACCTGGTCACCCTCCCCCGAGAGAGAGCCATCCTGCCTGTGAATGATCAAAGGTTGGCTTCAGGACCACATGAGTAAACAAGTTATTTAGATAAACTCCCTTACATTCCTTTGCACCTACTTTAAGCTATTTACTCAAGGAAGGATTAGGCCGCCTTCATTCAGATCTATTACTGAAGCTATACAACACCCCCAGCCTTCCATGAAGGTTTGTGTCGATTTCTTATAACTATCTTTAAAATTTTTCCCACCAGCCTGACTGAACTCCCACAGTTGTTGCTACTTTTTGAAATTGAAATACTTCTAGGAAGACTGATTAAGAACAATATAGAGAAAAGACATATTTTTCAAACTCCTGATGAAGAAGAAACATCCGTTATTAATATATAGCTAATAAAAAGATAAGAGATGTTGTGGAAAACTTCATACAAGGGTGCCCACTCTCAGAACTTCTATTCAACATAGTACTGGATGTCCTAGCCAGAGCAATTAGGCAAAAGAAAGAAATAAAAGGCATGAAAATTGGAAAGGAAGAAGTTAAATTGTTTCTGTTTGCAGTTGACATGATCTTATATATAGAAAACACCAATAACTCTGCCAAAAAATTTAGAATTCATAAATGAATTTAGTAAAGTTGCAGGATACAATGTGAACATACAAAATTCAGTAGCATTTCTACACATCAACAACAAACTATACAAAAAAAGAAATCAAGAAAACAATCCTATTTATAATAGCAACAAAAAATACTTAGATGTAAATTTAAACAAAGAGGTGAATGATCTTTACACTGAAAACTACAAAACATTGATGAAAACAATTGAAGAAGCCACAAATAAATGGAAAGATATCTCATGTTCATGGATTGGAAAAAGTAATATGTTTGAAATGTCCATACTATCCAAAGTGATGTACATATTGAATGCAATCTCTATCAAAATTCCTATGACATTTTCCCACAGAAATAGAAAAACAACTCTCAAATCTGTATGGAATCACAAAAAACTCTGAAAAGCCAAAATAATCTTGATCGAAAAAAGCAAGGCAGGAGATATCACATTACCTGACTTCAAATTATACTACATAGCTATAGCAATCGAAACACCATGGTACTGGCATAAACGCAGACACATAGACCAATTACACAGAATAAAGAGCCCATAAATAAATCTACATATTATAGTCAATTGACTTTCAACAAAGGTGCCAGGAACACACATGGGGAAAGAACAGTCTCTTCAAAAAATGGTGTTGAGAAAACTGAATGTCCACAAGATTGATCTTAGGCCCTTATTTCATACCATATAAAAATATAAATTCAAAATAAGTTAGACTTAAATGTAAGACCTAGCACTATAGAACTCCTAGAAGAAAACAGGGGAATAACTCCAAGACATTGGTCTGGGCAATAATATTTTATGATATGACTCTAAAGCACAGGCAAGAAAAGCAACAAAACACAAATGGAATAGCATCAACCTAAAAAGCTTCTGCGCAGCAAAAGAAAGTCAACAGAGTGAAGTGATAACCTACAAAATGGGAGGAATTATCTGCAAACTATACATTTGATAAGAGGCTAATGTCCAAAATATCTTAGGAACTCAAACAACACAATAATAAGAAAACAAGGAACCCTAATGAAAAATTGACAAAGGATCTAAATAGACATTTCTCAAAAGAAGACATACAAATGGCCAACAGATATATAAAAATGCTAATTATCACTGATCATCAGAGAAATGCATATTAAAACTACAATAAAATGCCATTTCACATCCGTTAGAATGGCTGTTACAGAAAAGGCAGAAGATACCAAGTGTTGGAGAGGATGTGGAGAAAAGGAAAACCTTGTAATTGTTGAGAATGTAAACTATTTCAGCCATTGTAAAAGACAGTATAAGTGATTCTGTAAAAATAGAATTACCATATGATTCAGTAATGCTATTTCTGGGCATATATTAAAAAGATATCAAATCAGTGTGTCAATGAGTTATCTGTACTCCCATATTTATTGTAGCATTATTCACAACAGCCAAGATGTGGAATTAACTTAAGTATCCATCGACACATGAGTGGATGAAGAAAATGTGGTACACATACACAATAGAATAGTATACAACCTTAAAAAATAAAAAAAGTATCATTTGTGACAACATGAATGAACCGGGAGGACATTATACTGAGTAAAATAATCCAGGCACAGAAAGCCAGATACTGCATAATCTCACTTGTATGTGGAGGTCTAAGAAGGCTGAACACATAGAAGTACAGAGTAGAATGATGGTTACCAGGAGGATTGGGTAGATGTTGGTCAAAGGGTACAAAATTGCATTGTACAGGAGGAATGAATTCAACAGATCTATTGTGCAATATGGTGACTATAGTGGATAACAATGTATTGTTTTTAAATTTAATTTTTGTGGGTACATAGCAGGTGTATACATTTATGGGGTACATGAAATATTTTGGTACAGGCATGCAATGTACAATAAGTGCATAATGGAAAATTGGATATTCATCCCCTCAAGCATTTATTATTTGTGTTATAAACAATCCAATTATACTCTTTCAGTTATTTTTAAATGTATAATTGAATTTTAGACTGCAATCCCCCTGTTGTGCTATCAAATACTAGGTCTTATTAAATCTTTCTTTTTTTGTACCCATTAACCATCCCCCACCTCTCCCAACCCCCACTACCCTTCACAGCCTCTGGTATACTTCCTTCTACTCTCTATCTCCATGAGTTCAGTTGTTTGCTTTTTGGATTCCACATATAAGTGATAACACATAGTATTTGTCTTTTTGTGCCTGGCTTATTTCACTTAACATAATGACCTCCAGTTTCATCTATGTTGTTGCAAATGACAGGGTCTCATTCCTTTTTATGGCTGAATAATACTTCATTGTATATAAGTACCACATTTTCTTTATTCATTCATCTGTTGATGGACACTTAGGTTGACTCCATAACTTCGCTATTGTAAATAGTGCTGCAACAAATACGGGAGTGCAGATATCTCTTCGATATACTGATTTCTTTTTTGGGGGGTATATATGCAGCAGTGGGATTGCTGGACCACATGGTAGCTCTATTTTTACTTTTTTGAGGAGCCTTCAAACTGTTCTCCATAGGGGATGTACTTGTATTCTTCAAAATTGCTAAGAGTAGATTTTTAAGTGTTCTCATAAAAAAAGATAAGCATGTAAGGTAATGCATATGTTAGCTTAACATGGCTATTTTACAATGAATATATATTTCAAAACATATAATTTTATTTATCTGATAAAATAAATATAAAATATGAAACTTTATATTAATAAATTTGACAATCATAAGGAATGGTCAAGTTCCTATGAAAAATACCTACTTTTATGAAATGATCAGAAAAAAACTAGAAAAACTGAGTAGTTTTTTTTTCATTGTAGAAATTTTATTTAGAAAATTTTTTTTTCCTGTAGAAAGAACTCCAGGGCTAGGTGGATGCAATATTTAATAAAGAAATATTACCAAATATTTAATAAAGAAATAATGCCAATGTTACATGAATATTTTTAGAGAATTGGGAAGACATAACACTTTCCAACTTGTTTTATATGGTGGTACCTCCATGATAGTAAAACCATACAAGGATATTAAAAGAAATGAAATTACAGACTAATATACTACATAATAATTCTAAACAAAAATGTTTGCAAATATAATCCAACAATATACTCCAAAGAAAAATACATCGTGACTAAGTGCAGTAATTTCAAGAATGTATGGTTTAAAATTAGAAAACCAAACAATGAAATTAACCACATTAACTGAATAAAAGAAAAAAATATGGTTATTTCAATAGCTGTGGGAAAAGCACTTGTTCACATTTGAAACTATTTGTAATAATAACAAACTAGGAATAGAAGAGAACTGATGTAAATATCTTAATATATACACAAAAACTACTCTCAACATTATAAATAATCATGACATATTAAACAGTTTCATTCTAACATGAGGAACAAGGTACACATGTCCAGCTCAACACTTTATTCATCATTAAAATAATACTGTGCAGTAAAATTAACAAGGAAAATTTTAAAAAGAACACAAAAGAAAACTACAAATCCTTATCCCTGATCAACACAGATGTAAAAATACTCAACAAAATTCTAGCAAACTGAAGCTAACAACACATCAAAAAGATAATTCATCATGATCAAGTGGGCTTTATTCCAGGGGTGCTTGAATGGTTCAAAATAGACAAATCAATAAACATGATTCACCACATAAATGGAACTGAGAACAAAAACCCTATGATCATCTCATTAGATGCAGAATAAGCATTTGATAAAATCCAACATCTGTTTATGATAAAAACCCTCAACAATATAGGTATAGATGGAGTATACCTCAAAAAATGAGTCATCTATGACAAAGCCACAGCCAACATCATCCTGGATGGGCAAAAGTTAGAAGTGTTGCTTCTAGAAACTGGAAAAAAGCAAGGATGTTCACCTTCATCATTCCTATTCAATACAGTACTGGAAGTGCTAGCCAGAACTATCAGAAAGGAGAAAGAAATAAAAGGTATACAAATTAGAAAAGAAGTCAAATGATCTCTGCTCACTGATGACATGACTGTAGGCCTAGAAAACCCTAAAGTCTTCAGAAGACTCCTAGACTTGATACACGACTTCAGTAAAGTCTTGGGATAAACAAGCCACAAAAATCAGTTGTATTTCTATACACCAAATACATTCAAGCTGTTTGAATGTTTGTTGAGATTAATTTGTTGAGAACCAAATTAAGAACTCAACTGAATTTACAATAGCCATGAAAAATACCTAGGAATGCATAACTATATAAATGAAAGATCTCTACAAGGAGAACTACAAAATACTAATGAAAGAAATTATAGATGACATAAACAAATGGAAAAACATCCCATGCTCATGGATTAGAAAAATCAATAGCTAAAGTGACCATATCACCCATACAATCTATAGAGTTAATGCAATTCCCATCAAATTACCAACGTTATTTCTCACAAAATTAAAAAAAAATCCTAAAGTTCACATGGAGCCAAAAAAAGATCCCTAATAGCCAAAGCACTTCTAAGCAAAAAACAAAGCAAAACAAAACAAAGCCCCCAGAGCAAAAGACAAATATGGTTCCTACAAATGAAGACCAATGGTAATGCTTATCTGTTCGTGGTAGAAGTGTAAATTGGTAGGATTGTTAAAAAAAATAGTGTAGCATTTCATGGTAATGTTGAATAACTCAATAATTTTACTTTTAAATATATACCCCAGAGGATATCTTGCACATATGAACCAGGTGATTTACAAAAGAATGTTCATAGCAGCATTGTTTGTAATGGTTAAAAACTGGAAAAATTTCAAGTGTTCATCAACAATAGATCTGAGGAATGAAGTCTGACATATTCTTGTAGTGGAATATCATATAGCAATACGAATGGATGAATTACACCAACATTCAACAAGGTTGTAATATGCAAACTTATTATTGAATCAAGGTGAAAGTACCTTCTGATAAAGGTGAAAGAACTTCTACAAAATAATTTCATTTATATAAGTTTCAAAGAACCAAACTAAATAATGCATCACTTGAGAACCATTAAAGTCTATTAAAAAACACATACAATGCAATGGAAGGACAGTGGTCATATCCAGCAGGAAATAAAGGAGAACACAATTGGCAAGGAGCACCCAATGGGCGTCTAAGGCACTAGTAAAGTTCTATTTTGTTTCCAATCCTCCAAGACATCTAGTTTTTTTATTTTTCTGAGACATGGTGGCCCAGGCTGGAGTACGATAGTGTGATCTTGGCTCACTGCAACCTGTGTCCTGGGCTTAAGTGATCCTCCCACCTCGGCCTCCCAAAGTACTGGGATTACAGGTGTGAGCCACCATGGCCGGCAAATGTTCTATTTCATATCCTGTATGGTGGACACATAGATGTTCTCTTTTTTATTATTCCTTGAACACTAAGTATATGTTTTTTTATATTCTCTGTGGAATACCTCCTTATTTCTCAGTCAATTCAGGATACCTCCTTACCCCCATCCCCTTTTTACTTTTCGTCATGTCATATAGTTTCTGAAATATAGAAAAGCTTACATATTATCCTGTCATCAAAGCGGCATGGAGGCATTTGGTAGAATAAATATTATTTGTTGATTATTCATCCTTTCCTTTCACTTTACAGAGTCAATCAAACACCAGGTCATGTTAATTTTACTGTCACGCACATATCTTGAATTTGCCTCCTTATCTCTATTTCCACTATTCAGTTCAGACCTTGATAATCACTCATCTGCATTGTAGTTGCATTTTTCTAATTATTCTGTTTCTAGTCTTGTTCTAAAATCTTTTTTCCTCCCACAATGCAGCTGGAGTGGTCAATTTAAAGCATCATCTATCTCAAGAACAAAAAACCAAACACCGCATGTTTTCACTCATAGGTGGGACTTGAACAATGAGAACACTTGGACACAGGAAGGGGAATATCACACACCGCGGCCTGTTGTGGGGTGGGGGGAGAGGGGAGGGATAGCATTAGGAGATATACCTAATGTAAATGATGAGTTAATGGGTGCAGCACACCAACACGGCACATGTATACATATGTAACCTGCACGTTGTGCACATGTACCCTAGAACTTAAAGTATAATAAAAATAAATATTAAAAAAAGAAGCATCATCTTTATTAAAACATTTAACGGTCCTACTATTCCTTATGCTATAAATTTCTTATAATTTAATAAATATTTTTCCGTAATTGTGACTCTCTTCTATAGCTCTTGTTACTCCCGATATTCTTCTAATTATCAGGCAGCAGCACAAAGCTGCTTACACCTCTTTACACATCTCTTTATTTTAGGCCTCCTTGCATTTGCTCATGCTGTGCCTTTTTGTTTGAAAAACTTACACATTTCTTCATTTGGTTAATCCTTGCACACTTTCAAGACTCATTTGAGGCCTCATTGACTTTGGAAACCTTCCCTGTAATCTTGTATTATTAACTTATCTTAGTTTTCACTTATTAGCTCTTATTAGATTACTGTCCTTACGTGTGTAACTCTCCCACTAGACAGTAAGCTTTTGGACGGCAGAGATGATGTCTCATTCATCTTTGCATCTTTAGCGCCCAGCCTGGTTTCTGGTTTCCTATAGTCACTCAGTGTTGAGCTAAACCATATTTTTGGAGCAATGACTTGACAATGCAGTATCATGATGGAACTATCACAGATGGACAGAATGAGTCTCTTGATTCCTACATTTATTTTTCTATTGATATAGCTGATTTAAAAAGAAACCTGTTAATTATATAATCATGTAATTACCCTGACATAACATCAAACTCCATAAATTACTTTCCATCTCTGCCTCTCTCTCTTTCTATATATATAACATATACATGTTACAAAAATGCACAGGGAATAAATATGAGCAAAATGGTAAGAAGTGCAGGTCCTAGGTCAGATTTCTTGCATTTAGTTGCAGGCTACACCAACTTTAGAGAAAAGATTTAGTGAAAAATAAAAATGAATCATTAATACACCACTTGGCACAGATAAGTTATTCAGTAAACATTAACATATGTGCATTTATGTTTAACCATGGGTTTAAGTGATTATCCAGAAATTTCCCTCTCTTTGACTATGTTTGAATATTAGATACTTCTTAATTTATCTTTGCTCTGAATTTGTTTTTTTTCACTCGTTGTATACTCATGGACCATTTTATGTGTTTCAGGAATTGATATTTTACTTAAAAACTGTTACTATAGAAAATTAACTTTTGGATAGTCCTGTTCAGACTAAAACTATCATTTGTAAGATCTGTATTACTGCAATCATTGGTGTTAATACTTTGCATTAATTAAAATTTTTTATGGACATATAATAAGTATTTCTCCCACCTTGATTTTTGTGGCTATCATTTTATTCATTCCATTGCTTTTTTCTCCCAGTTTGCTATGAGGAAGTTGATAAGTACGTAGGCAAAACGATAGATTGTTTTGGCAGCTTCAGTGTATTTAAGTGCCTGTGATGAGGCTATGGTTTATTTTTCTAATGTAGAATTCATAATGTAGAATAAATTTTAAAAACATAAATTTTATTCCTGCACATTGTGCACATGTACCCTAGAACTTAAAGTATGATAAAAATATACATATATAACAAATTAATAACATAAATTTCTTTGCACAGCTTTTTCTTTCTGCTATTTTTATTCAATGATTATTTGCTTCCCTTGTTATTTAAGAGCTGACTTTTGGCTTCATGGCCAAAAATAAAATTCTTAGTAGGAGAAAGTAAATGTGATTTACTGATGAAGATGCCACCCCCAAGTGACCCATTAACCACTTTCCCTGCGTTACCCTGGGACAACCAAAGTGATTCCAGGAGACAATTCCCATGACAAGTGATTTCTGGCTGGCAATGCCAGGTCTCTGAAGTTCCACTTGGCCACTGCCCAAGAACAATTAGTGCCGTTAGTTAACTACCTTTACTATGACAGCATTTTGTGTAACTCTTTGCACAGGGGAGTTTTATGCAACAGACAGAAACTTTCTGAGTTGTTCTGATTGCCTGAAGATGCCCTGTTTTAGAGGAGCAAAATTTTCCCTGTTTACTGTGTTTCAGTGTTAAAAATATGAATGCATTGTCAGGATTAGCTCTGACAATGGTAGTTAAATGCAGATATCCAGACAAAGGAGATTATAGATTGGAGACTTTGTGCTACTTGATAATGAAGCCTTGGTTTTGATTTTATTTATTTTTAAGTTGAAAAACAAAACACACACACACAATACAAAACATGGCACAAAACAAACTTATAGTTTGATTTTTGTAAACATCCCTGTAATCATCACATAAGTCAAGATATAGGACTTTGCCAGCCCTGAAGTCCTGCATGTGACTCTCCTCAATTGCAGCCACCTTTCTCCTGAAAAGTGACGATAAACATGACTGTTCCAATAGAGGCGTCCTTGCATTTTCACGGCTGTGTCCTTCATGTATGCATTCCAAGACACTATGATTTAGTCTTGCCCATTTTTTTTCATTTGTCGTGTTTTTAAAATCCCTTCTAACATACACGTTTCTTTTCAAAGTTTTCTTTCCCATACAATATATTTGTTGAAAAATGTGGGATTTTTGTCACTTGATGTCCACACTGTGAAATTTGCTGGTTAGACTCTCAGTGAAGATCGACATTTTCACTATCCTTTGCATTTTATCCAAATGACAGTTGAATCCAGAGGTTTGACTAGGACACGTGCTTGATTCTATTTTTGGTAAGATTGTAGGTGATGGTGTGTTCATTCACCAGGAGGTTTAATTATGGCTTTTATCTTAGCACCTACTACTACTTTCTACTAACACCTGTTAATACAAAGAAAGTTAATATTTTCTACTAGCACCTGTTAATCCTCAATATGTACATGTAGGATATGTATAGACACACGTGTGTCTATGCATATAATATATAATATGTACATATTATATATTTTTTAAGAGAAGGAAAGAGCATGTGAGAGAGCACATTGTATATTTATGTTGATAATACTGATTCTAATGTAACTCAGTGGGCTGCTTCTTTCCTTGTCTTATTCCATATCTGTATCTCTGTCCTTTCACAGTGAGAATCTGGGGTTCTAGCAATACAAATATATTAATATTTACTCATTGGCTTAATCTTACAATGCACATACATTTGTTTCAGAATTGTTATATTTATACTAATATAAAAAGAAAAAATCCTATCATGAAGATTTAATAATTTTTTGCAGATATTTTATTTTTTCAAGCAATAGTATGTAGTCAAAGTATGTTCAAAAGTCAATTTGAAATAAGAGAACAGTCAAAAATTAATCAGATTAATTATTATTTTCCCCTTAAGTTTGATTATGTCATTCATTCATTTGAAATATATTTGGATTCACTTGTTTCTCATTGCATTCCGTTTTAGAGTCTTGTAATAACTTATCTTTGCTTGCTTAATATCACACTTTGAGAGTGTAAAAGATTAACTTAATTAAAAATGTACAATTATGCACAAAAGCATTCACAGAGCAATATCCCATTCTCCCATATTTCTTTCACCAAATTCCCCTCTAATTCTTTATAGATAATACATGTTTTCAGATTCTGGTACATTTTGGCTACATTTGTTTGTTTCATGCTTGTATTTTTGGTGTATTATCTAAGAATGCATTGCCAATCCACAGCAATGTTTTATTTCCATGTTTTCTTCTAAGCATGTATGGTTTTCACTCGTATATTTACATTATTGATCCAATCTAGATTTTGTATATAATGTGAGGTAGGGGTCCAGCTTCATTTTTTTTGCATATGAATATTCAGTATTCCCAGCACTTTTTGTTGAAAAAGCTATTATTCCCCACTGAATAATGTTGGCTCCCTTGTAAAAAAAAGTCAGCTGAATAGAGATGTTTTGCTTAGTCTATGTAAAAGTATATTAATTTTATTGATATTTTAAAAGAACCAACTTTTAGTTTTGTTGATCTCTGTATAATTTTTTAATTCTCAATTTCATTTATCTCTGCTCTAATCTTTATTTCCTTCCTTCTGCTAGCTCTGGATTTTGTTTGCTCTTCCTTTTATGGTTTATTGAGTAAAGTTTGGTTATTGATTTGACATGTTTCTTTTTTAAAATGTAGGTGTTACAACTCTGAGCACTGCTTTTGATATATCACACCCATCTTGTTATATCTTTGTTTTCAATCGTCTCTAAACATTTTCTAATTTCCCTCATGATTTGTTCTTTGATTCATTGGTTGGTAAATACTGTGTTGTTTAATTTCCAAATATTTGTAAATTTTCTAGTTTTTCTTTTGTTATTGATATCTTATTTCATTCCATTGTGGTCAGTGAAGATACTTTGCATGATTTCAATCTTTTTAAGTTTATTGAGCTTATCTTATGGCCTAACATATCATCTGTGCTGGAGAATGTTCCATGTTCACTTGAGAAGAATGTGTATTCTGCAGTTTTTGAGAGAAGTGTTATCTATAGTTATTGCTTATAGTTTTATTCAAATCCTCTAATTCCTCCCTTGATATTTGCTCTGGATGTTTTGTCCTTTATTAAAGTTGGGTTTTAAAATGCCCAACAATTTTCGTGGAATTGTCTGTCTCTCCCTTTAATTCTCTCAATGGTTACATTATATATTTTGGAGCCCTGTTAGTTGGTGTACATATATTTATAATTGTTATATCTTCTTGTTTAATTTTGAAATCAATATATACTGTTCTTTGTATTTTGTAACAGTTTTTGACTTAAAGTCTATTTTGTCTGATATAAGTATATTTGCCTCAGATCTCCTTTGGTTATTACTTACATGGAATATTTTCTCCCATCCTTTCATTTCAACTCATTGTGTATTTTGATCTAAAGTGAGTATCTTGTGGACAATATAGTTGGATCATTTTTTAAAAATCCATTCTGTCAATCTCTTTCTTTGGATTGGAGAGTTTAATTCATTTGTATTTAATGTAATTACTGATAAAGAGGGGCTTACTCCTACCATTTTGCTTTTGTTTTCTGTATGTCTTATACCTCCTTTGTTCCTAATTTCCTCAATTATCGCCTTCTTTTGTGTTTAGTTGCTATTTTGTAGCATATCACTGTGTTTACCCTCTGCTTTCCTTTTCTGTATTTTCAAAAGATATTAACTTAGTGGTTACCATGGGGATTTACAATTAACATTCTTAATTTGGAACAATTTAGAGTAAATTGAAACAACTTCAATAGTATACAAAATCTCTATTATTATTTAGTTTCCTATGAATTTCTTTATGTTGGTAATTTCACAAACCACATCTTTATATATCATGCTTCATTAACATAGATTTATAGTCATTATTTTACACATTTGTTTTAAAACATATAGAATATTTAAAAAGACTTACAAAAAATATGATAATTGCTTTTATATTTACCTATGTAGTTATCCTTACTGGAGTTATTTCTTTATGTGGTTTTGAGTTACTTTCTAGTGTTTTTTAGTTTGTATCTGAAGGAGTCTTTTTTTTTAAAAGTGTATCTTGAAGTACAGCCTACCAAACATGAACTTTTAAAGCTTGCTTGCTTTTCTTTCTTTCTTTTCTTTCTTTTTCTTTCTTTATTTCTTTCTTTCTTTTTTCTTTCTTTCTTTCTTTCTTTCTTTCTTTTTCTTTCTTTCTTTCTTTCTTTCTTTCTTTCTTTCTTTCTTTCTTTCTTTCTTTTTCTTTCTCTCCCTTTCTTTCTCTCTCTTCTTTCTTTCTTTCTCTTTCTCTCTCTCTCTTTTTTTTTAATCTGGGAATGTGTAATTTATCCTTAATACTTGAAGGGGCATCTTCCAAGTTACAGAATTTTTGGTTGACAGTGTTTTTTTCTTTCAGAACTTTAAAATGTCATTCTAAGCTCTTCTGGCACCCATGGTTTATAATGAGCTCTCTGCTGTCAAACTTACGGAGGATCCTTTGTAAATGATGCATTGCCTTTTTCCTAAGCTCTTCTGACATCCATGGATTATAATGCACTATCTGCTGTCAAACTTATTGAGGATCCTTTGTAAATGACGCGTTGCCTTTCTCTTGCTGCTTTCAAACATTCGCTTTGCCTTTTGACAATTTGAAACATAGTGTGTCTTGGTGTGAATATCTTTGTATATTTCCTTGATGAAGTTCACTGAGCTTTTTGAATGTGTATATTTGTTTTTAGTGAAATTTGGGAAGCTTTCAAACACATTTCTTCAAATAGTCTTCCTGCCCCTCACTCCCCACCAGGATTCTGTATGTAGGCATTCTTGATGTTGTTACACAGGTCTTTAGGCTCTATTCTTTTTTGTTGTCATTCTTTCATTTTCCTGCTCTTCAGACTGAATCATTTCACTTGATCTATCAAGTTCACTGATTCTTTTTTCCAGCTGCTCAAATCTTCTATTGGAACCCTAAGTAAAAAGTAACTTTTTAATTAGTTATTGTACTTTTCAGCCTCAGAATTTTTTTGTACCTTTTAAAAAATTCATATTTCTTATTTATTTATATGTCATTCTCTTGGGTTTCTTTAGCTCTTTAAGTTTATTTAAGACAGTTATATAAAGTTTTTGTCTAATATTTCCAATATCTGCTTACTCAGGGAGAGTCTCATTTATTTCTTCTGTAAATGGGCCATAGTTTTGTGTTTATTTGCATGCTTCTTAATTTTTGTTGAAAACTGGACATTTTGGATATTATAATGTGTTTATTCTGGAAACCAAATTTTTCCCTTCTTCAAGGTTATTTTTGTTACCCACTGTGGGATGTAGTTTTTATTTGTTTAGTAACTTTTGTAAACTGGTTTTGTAATATCTGCATTCTTTTTTATGTTTGATGTTTGAAGGCGGCTCGGTTCCTTTAGCTTGTGTTCATTTAGCATTTAGTGATTTAAAAATGATTTCCTTGACTGCAAGGAGCCAAAAAAGAAAAAAATATGAAAAACATCTCCCAGACTTTGCTTACTGACTCTGTATTGGGGCTCCCTCAACACTTAGCGGAGCCATATATAATTCTGCCTTAGCCTTCATTTTTTCTTGCTGTGAGCCTAGGAATTACTAAAGGTGAGTTATTAGTGTCTTCTCAGGCCTTTTCTGAGCATGTGTCCCACCTTGGCCATGCTTATGGATTTCCAAATTTTTCATTGTATGTAAGCACTTTTGAGTATTCGAATTTCCCAAAGGAACTTTCTCTCCTGCTTTTTCCTCAAGTTTTCAGTACAGTATATCTTGCCTCAATTGTAATATTTTGCCTCAAATGGCTGAGGGCTGTTAATTTGCCTTTGGATGATCTGATTTCTAAAGGTTTGGTGGAATTCTCTGTGAAAACATCTAAACCTAGTGTTTGTGTGTGTGTTATAATTCCATGACAACTGTATTTCTCTATGGAAATTGCTCACATAAGTGCTGTACTTCTTTTTTTTTTTTTTGAAGTCAATTGTGGTGAATTGTATTTTTCTGGAAAATTACCCATTCCCTCTAGCTTTCAATGTTTTTCATAGATGTGAACAACATTGTTTTTAATGATTTTTTATTTGCTGATTATCAATAGTTATTTCTCTCACCATTCCTTATTCATTTTTGTGCTTTCTCTTTTTTTATTCATGATTAAAAGATCTAATTTTTTGTCAACTTTGTTGATTTGTTTAAAGAACAAGATTTTTGGTTTACTGATTTGATCTGTTTTTTGGCTTCTTATTTTATTAATTTTCACTTTTTTCTACTATGGGTTCTTTCTTGTACTTTCTGCTTACTCTTTTATATACTTTTTACATTTTTCAGCTGATAATTTAATTCCTACACTTTTATTAATAAATGTGTTAAGGCTATAGATTTTCCTCTGATCACTGCTTTAACTATATCCCATATACAGATGCTCCTTGATGTATGATGAAGTTATGTCCCAACAAACCCCCGTAAACTGAAAATATCATAAGTTAAAAATGCATTTAGCACACCAAAAATTATAGGTTAGCCTAGCTTACTTTGAACATGCTCAGAACATTTAGATTAGACTTCATTGGTCAAAATAATCTAACAAAATGTCTAAATAAAGTATTGAATAACTGATATTTATTAAATATGGTACTGAAAATAAGAAACAGAATGGTTGTATGGGTACTCATCATTAATGTACATAGCTGAAATTACACAGGGCCTGAAGAATTTTTGAAGCATTGAGCTAAAGTTAATTGCTGAATGATGGGACTAATACTTTGACACAGTCAGTGTCTGTCTCTTCCGATGATGAGGGTTGAGAATAGCTGGTAGAAAGTATTGATGCTTGTTGATGGTAGGCAGGAATTATGTTCTTCAGGAAGATATCAATAATATTGATATCAGGAAGATATCAATAATGTCACAGATTATGCTTCATACTTGTCTTCCTGAGTCTTCTTTATCCCGAACACCCTGAGTTTTCGAATGGTTGACATGCCAGCTGGCTTTCTGCAGATGTACTTCTCGTGTGTAAATTTCCTTCTCTGTGAGGTATTCATATTGAACATGACCTCCAAGTGTGTTTGGGTCTGTGCAGAAGACAATAGGACTGCGATTTCTGATGATTAAAACCTGGATTGTATGTTACTGTGATCAGACCCTGAGACTGCGTTAGCAAGTTTTATAGCATCTGAGTCGCTCTGTTGGAGGAAAGTGCATGTGATGGGCATTTGCTTGCTTCCCCACCAGATTCTCTACCTTCACCCTTCCTGCAATATTCCCTAGGAAGCTGACTTCTGCTGAATGCAACACTCAGGTTCTCTGCTTCCTAGATTCTAGTTGAGTTTGGTCCATGGGAGGCCTTGGCAGAAATTTTGAGAGTAAGAGCAAATAATTACTTAACCATTAGAAAAAAATAACATGAATGTGTCCTTCTATCCATGGCCTCAGTTCCTGTTGGGGAGCCTCGGTGCCAATCCCTCGGTGCATCACCATTTCTAATTAGTTCCTGTTTTAGTCTGCTTTTGCGTGTGTGTGTGTGTGTGTGTGTGTGTGTGTGTGTGTGTGTTGTTATAAAGGAATACCAGAGGCTGAATAATTTTAAAGAAGAGAGGTTTATTTGGTTCACAGTTCTGAAGGTGTGCAAGAAGCATGGTGCCACCATTTGCTTCTGGTGAGGGCTTTAGTCTGTTTCCACTCATGGCAGAAGGGGAAGGGAAGCTGGCATGTGCAGAGATCACGTGGCAAGAGAGAGGGGTTTGTACCAGGCTCTTGTTAACAACCAGCTCTTGTGGGAATTAAGAGAGCTAGAACTAGGTAGGCACGGTGGCTTACGCCTGTAATCCCAGCACTTTGGGAGGCCGAGGCAGGTGGATCACCTGAGGTCAGGAGTTTGAGACCAGCCTGGCCAACATGGTGAAACCCCGTCTCTACTAAAAATACCAAAAATTAGCTGGGCATAGTGGTGGGTACCTGTAATCCTAGCTACTCTGGAGGCTGACACAGGAGAATGGGTTGAACCCGTGAGGTGGATGTTGCAGTGAGCCAAGATCGCACCACTACATTCCAACCTGGGCAGCAAGAGTGAAACTACATCTCAAAAAGAAAAAAAGAGCGAGCAAGAACTCACTTGGATGGCACCAAGACATTCGTGAGAGGTCCACACTCAGGACCAAAACACCTCCCATTAGGCCCCACCTCCAACAATGGGGATCACATTTCAACATGAGTTTGGAGTGGTCAAATATCCAAACCCTAGCAGTTCCCTTAACCCTGGAAAGAGACCCTTCATTAAACTCTTTCTGCTTAATCCTTTGAGAGTGCAACAATTTCCTGCTAGGACCCTGACGGATAGAGGGACCATACAGATCACTAAAATGCTGAGGAATTTTTCAAATGAACTGCACCCAACAGACCTCCCTGATTCTGAATATATCAAACTTTTATTTTTTATTTTATTTTATTTTATTTTTTGAGACGGAATCTCGCCCTGTCACCCAGGCTGGAGTGCAGTGGTGCGATCTCGGCTCCCTGCAACCTCCACCTCCTGGGTTCAAGCGATTCTCCTGCCTTAGCCTCCCGAGTAGCTGGGACTACAGGCATCCACCAGCAGGCCCGGCTAATTTTTTATTTTTAGTAGAGATGGGGTTTCACCATGTTGACCGGGCTGGTCTTCAACTCCCGACTTCATGATCCACCCACCTTGGCTTCCCTAAGTGCTTGGATTACAGGCGTGAGCCGCTGCACCCAGCCAAACTTAAAAAAAAACCCCAAATAGTACTTTGAACTTCACCCGCAGGGAGTTATTCAAATTGGTTGTCAGCCAGTTATTTCAGGTTGTTGAGATCATCTGGCTCTTGATTTTATTAATCATCTTAGCCTTCCCTTTCAACAATTTGCCGACTTTGTGCAAATTTTATTAATATGTGATCTCTGTCTTTATCCATGGAGAGGCAGTATAGTATCATGAGGAAAAATAGACTTTGGAGTAGGCAGAAATTAGGTTTGAATTACTAGCCACGAGGCTTTGGGAACATTACTTAAACTCTATAAGCTTCAATTTCTTTATCTATAAGGTATAGATACCTTACCTTTATCTATACCTTATAGATACCTTTATCTATAAGGTATAGATCTTTATCTATAAAACCTGAAAGTTTTGGCATGAGTTTAGTAAAACTGTCTGTGAAGCCCTTGTGGACTGCTTGGTCCATGTAGGCATTTGATAAACGGTGGCTTTATATAGAGTAGGGAAATGCAAGCTATCTCAAAAAGAAATCAGGGAAATAAGAATGCCATCTGAAATCTGTCATATGAGAATGAAAGGAGCATAGACAGGTTTTGAGTGTGGGGTGAGGAGTAGGGGAGGGGAGGAGATAAGTGAACTGCCCCTCAGACTTCCAGGGAGGAGAAAAATGATGTCACTGGGAACTGCAGTCATTTGAAAAGATAGCAATCAAGCATTTCTTTCAGAGCCCTGTTCATCTTTCAGTGGCTTTGCTTCTCCAGATGCTTTTGCTCCTTCAATTATCTCTGCCTTCTCCCACCTCCTCTCCAACCATCTCTTCCCTTCCTTAATTCACAATTTTTCTCCCTCTTTTCAAGGCATAGTGCTTTGATTTATAAATTAGTTCTATGTTTCTGTTTTCTAATTTATTAGTTTCTGCTTTCTTATTTATTTATTTTGAGATGGAGTGTCACTCTGTTGCCCCAGTTGGAGTGCAGTGGCATGATCTTGGCTCACTGCAACCTCTGCCTCTCAGGTTCAAGAGATTCTCCTGCCTCAGCCTCCCAAGTAGCTGGAATTACAGGAGTGCGCAACCAAGCCTGGCTAGTTTTTGTATTTGTAGGAGAGACAAGATTTCACCATGTTGGCCAGGCTGGTCTGGAACTCCTGACCTCAGGTGATCTGCCTGCCTCAGCCTCCCAAAGTGCTGGGATTACAGATGTGAGTCACTGTGCCTAGCCTGCTTTCATATTTATTAACACATTATTTCCACTTTCCTAAGGATAGTTGTTGTTCAACCTTTACTAGCTTTTTTGTTGTTCATACTTAATACATTTATTTTTATTGTGCTATAGCTATTTCCCACATGTGATTTTTTTTTTTTTTTTTTGAGATAGGATCTTGCTCTGTTGCTGAGGCTGGAGTGCAGTGATATGATCATGGCTTGCTGAAGCCCTGAACTCCTGAGGTTGGGTGATTCTCCCACCTTAGCCTCCCAAGTAGATGGGATTACAAGAAGTACCACTATACCTGGCTATTTAAAATTTTTTTTTGGCTTGTGTGGAGATGGAGTCTCCCTATGTTGTCCAGGCTGGTTGCGAACTCCTGGTCTCAAGTGATCCTGCCACCTTGGCATCTCAAAATGCTGGGATTACACATGTGTAATATTTTTATTGTCACTATTTTCCACATATTCTGGAAATTTTATTTGGATTTCTTTTTTTTTTTTTTTTTGACAGAGTCTTGCTGTGTCACCTAGGCTGGAGTGCAGTGGTGCAATCTCAGCTCACTGCAACCTCCACCTTCTGGGTTCAAGGAATTCTCCTGCCTCAGCCTCCTAAGTAGCTGGGATTACAGGCATGCGCCACCAGGCCCAGCTAATTTTTGTATTTTTAGTAGAGACAGGGTGTCGCCATGTTGACGAGGCTGGTCTTGAACTCCTGACCTCAAGTGACCTGCCCACCTTGGCCTCCCAAAGTACTGGAATTACAGGCATGAGCCACTGTACCTGGCCTGGATTTCTTTTTGACATAGAATTATTTAAGAGAAAGCTTTTAAATTTCCATGCTGTAATTTCTAGTTTTGTTGTGTCATAATCAGAGAATATAATCTGTAGCATTTCTACATTCTCTACTTTGCTTAGATGTTTTTAGGGTGGGGTGTGTAATATGTACTGAATTTTGTAAACATTTTATGGACATACAAATTTCAATGTTTACTTTTTCAGGCTATAGGCTTTGCTACATAATCTTTGTGTATTTTTTGGTCCTCATATAGATTTTTTAATTACCTTTTTGCTGTGATAGAGATTAGAAGGGTAAATTAATGTCTCATTTACCATCATTTTTCTTTCTGTATCTCTTTTCATTTCCTGATGCTTTGGCTTTATGAAATCTTTATGTATAAAAATTGTGCACACATATCTTTATGCACAGTGTTTTGGATTTTACCCTTCATAATGAGCTTTTTTCTCTCCTTTGAATTTGACCTGGCCTGGTGTTAACAGCCCAGGTGTAAAATTCCAGTGAGAAAGAAGTCTGATGAGGAGTCAGTAGGATCTTTGTGTTGCTGAGAACTGCTCAGTAACACGGACAGCTCCCTGCACTCCAGGAAACATCCTGATTCAGTGTCTTGAGTATTGTGAAGCACAGTTAGAGCAGAAACATGGAGAATCACCTTAAAATGGCAAATTGGCTTCTGGTCTTGCATAAGACTTCATTGAGGCCTAATGGGCTATGTAGGTCTACTGTCCAAAGTACAGAGGTTATTCCTAGTGTCTTTAATATTACTGTCCCTTTAGGCAAGAGTATCCTTATGATAAGGGAGACTGAATTAAGCTATTTTGGCTGAGGTATATTTTTATAAATTCATCCAATTAGCTTCCCTTGTTGTAGTTTTGGCTCACCAAACATTGTTCTGATTATAATTTAGCATCCCATATAATTTCATCTGCAGGGAGAGTCTGTACTAGGCATGGCGATGCTTACATGTCAGCCCGTGTGACTGCAAGAGTCTCAGTATAATTTGATAACATGGCACTCAGATTCTAGACATTATTCTCTGTGTGCTTAGTGAGTGTGATGACATAACCTTCAGAAAGATTCATCCTTTCTCACATATTGATAAATCAACTTTTACATCTACAAAGTTGAGAGCCAGAAATTAAAACCTGATTAATTCACTAAGGCATCCCTATGACGGCAGTCTTCCAACTAGCTCCATTCTGGGGCACTCTGACATCATTATACACTTTCCAATGAAAGCAGGGAGTGTATGTGATTAAAGGGAGAGCCCTGTGGCACTCCTGAAAAATCTCCCCTCCCAGTTCACAGTGACTTATTAACCAACACTCATGATCATGTGAAACTCTAGAACTGGATCTGGGTGCCTGGCAGGATGACATGGTGTGAGGCTCAAGCAGCACTGTGGGAATTCAAGCATCTGTTTATTTCTGAGAGAAAAAGTGTAAAGCAAAATAATATCTTTTAACAAATGTTTGTATTTGACTAAAAAGGAAGCAAGCACTTAATTTATGAATTTGCTAATTGCTCTTCTGAGCTGAGAATATCTGTGTTGAATATTAGTCATTATCCATATTTGGCACAGAATAATCCCGAGGGCTAAATGACATTGTTCCTACAGTGGGCACCTGAAGACTGGCTATAAAAGCAATCCTGGCCAGGGGCGGTGGCTCACGCCTGTAATCCCAGCACTTTGGGAGGCCAACGTGGGTGGATCATGAGGTCAGGAGTTTGAGACCAGCGTGGCCAACATAGTGAAACCTCATCTCTACTAAAAATATAAAAAAATTATCTAGGCACGGTGGCAGACACCTGTAATCCCAGCTACTTGGGCGGCTGAGGCAGGAGAATCACTTGAACCTGGGAGGCAGAAGTTGCAGTGAGTCAAGATTGCGCCAATGCACTCCAGCCCAGGCGACAGTGTGAGACTCTGTCCAAAAAAAAAAAAAGAAGAAAAAAAGAGAAAGGAAAAAAAAAGGAAAAATAAATAAATAAGTAAATAAATAAATACATAAAAGCAACCCTAACACTACTGAGGCTATTGACAGTGGCACTTTGCTCTTCTGTTAGAACCTTGGGAAAATTTTTTCCCCCTGAATACAGTATAATAAACTTGGTTCTTATTTCTCTTTCTCTCCCCCTCCTTTTTTCTTCCCTCCCCACTACCACATGCACACACACAAATAGACAGATTTGTTTATATTTGACTTTCTAAAAACCTGTTACTAGAAAGGCACATTAATACATTTCTCCTGTGCTGATAGTAATCAGGCAACTCTGGTTTCTATCGGAGGCAATTTCTTACGTATTAAATGCCAGAAAAAGGGCATCCCTCCGTTTTTGTAGAGAGCCTTTCTTTATGAAGACTAATGACCACATTAGTTAGTCAGTCAGTCAATAATACTTACCAAATGTCAGTAGAGCCGACGTGAACACCAACAGAAAATCACATTTTACAAATGCAATTTACTTGGTATCCTAACATGCCATGTCATAATAATTATTGAGGCTTTTCTTCTCTGCTGCATTGGTCTAGTGAAAGTGGCTAGAAAAATATGTGTGCCCATGTAGCCTCCTGGAAGCACCTGTATGACTTTTCTAGAAGCGAGGTTCCTGGATAAAGATGAATTTTTAAAAGCTGGAATGAATGAGCAGCAATAGCAGAAGGAGAAAAGTGAGTGAGGGCTCTCCAAGAAGCCATCTGGCAGGCTAAGGGTTCTGAGGGAAGCTCTGGTTTCAGAAGCAACTCAGGAATTACTTCTGTCATATTAGGATGGGATGGTAGGAGATTGGGAACTCTAGGGACTAGAAGTCATTTAATTTCCTGTCTACAATCCTTAGAAGAGGTTTTGAGACTTGCAACCTAGGACCTTAACTAATCATCTTCCCTCAGCATTGATAGAATTCTTTATTATACATGTTAATATCAGATTAGTCAGGATGGGCTGGATTATGCTGTGTTAACAGCCATTCTCTAAATCTCTGTGGCTCAACAGGGAGCTCTGCCTGTCATGGTCACTTGGGACCCAGGCTTTGGGTATAAGGCTACAGCACATGGAAAACGTATGAATGTCTCTCAGATTCTTAAAGCTTCTGCTGGAAGTGACATGTCATTCTGCTCACAGTTCATTGGCTAAATGAGTCACGTGGCTCTCTCTAACTTCAAGGATGGTATGAAATTGCAATCCTACCATGTCTCTAGAAGGAGAACCAGCCCTAATCACAATGCTACATGTTTATAGCTTGCCTCATAGAGTTTACTGTATTCTCCTGGTATAATTTTCTTACATGCTCAACTGGAGAGGAAGCTCTTAAATAGAAAAAAATCACAGTAAATTTCCTTTAAAAGATCTATTTTACAACTCTGGCATGATGGAGCACAATGGAGTCCTTAGTAATGGACTCCATCTCTTCCATCAGATAAAATGTTGAGAACTGAAGTTAAAATTTGAATAATGAAACCAAAGGAAAAAAAAATTAAATGAATTTTAAGACAATTGAGATAAGAACAACTGTGGCATCAGCATAATTCAATTTAATAATGTATTAAATATTTTGCAGAAAAGTGAAAACAAATTGATAGCCAAATCAATGCAGCATTAAGCCACCATGTGGTCTAATTTCTTGCTGAATTGACAAAACAAAACACTAGTTTAGTTATATAAACATGGCTGATGTTTATACAAACAACAGAATTTGCCGGTAGCATTATCACTGGAAAATAAGATGTGTACTTAATTCTTGTATGTTCTGAGCCCATCTAGGAAGAACATAAAAGACGAAGAACAAAGCAATCACAGGATGTTATCATGAAAATATCACCTTTGGCTGGAGTAAAGTTTTGGCTAAATGTGGCACTAGTATTTATTACAGCTCACCTTTTTATAATGAAGGGCTATGGACTGAACATTCTTATTATTTCCCATTTTCTTGCCACTCTATCCCAACACACATGCACATGCATGCACACACGCACACACACTGGCACCCACACCCATGCATGTGGGACACACAGAGCAGCCCAGGCAATTTCAATTGTTGGCAGCTTTGCTTTTATTAGGTATTAGTCTACCAACTTGCTTTCTCTTTAGAGAGACTAAGTGAAACCAAACTCATTTCCACCCAGTTATCCTGCTGGAACCTGTAACAGTCACTGTAATGTTAAAAGCAGTAAAACAAAATAAAAACCAGTCAGTTCACTTACTCCCGAAGTCCGCAGTTTGGTGTTCAGCTTTAAAACGTGCTCTGGGCGTCCTGTGGTGGCTACCAGAGGCTTTGGTGAGTCATTGTCAACCCAGTAGCTAGAGAAGTGCTGGAATGCCCCTCTTAAATACAGAGCCAGTTTGTCCTTCAGAATGGCTGCTTGAACGAATTTACTGCTCAACTCGAAAGGCCATTTTTTATAACCCACTGCAGTTGTGCTTCATGTGTTTCTCCACCTATCCTGTAAAGTGTATTGTGAAATTAATTTTGTAGATTTCCTCACACTGCAGTGACTAGGGAAATCACCCATTCATTATTATCTAATGAGGAGAAAGTGGAAACATCTAGAAGCACTGCTCCCATCCTCCTCCCCAGCCCACACAGACACCTACCTCAGGCCCTCCCTGTCCCAGGTGAGCAGAGGGCCCCACCTTTGGAGGTTGCCTCCCTTCCACCTTCACCAATCCTATGACCAGATTATCCCCAAGGAAATGTCAATCTCCAGGCAGCAAGGGAATCATATAAAGATAAGATCATTGAGAGATTTTTTTCCTCCGTGATTGGCAGTTTATATTTTCTTGGGTCTACAAATCTGACAGCATTTATTAAATTTTCTAGTTTGATACTGACCTCTGTCTGATGCTGGGCTGTCACCATGCCCAAGACTGAGGGGACCCACAGTCTAGCTAGAAGGCATGGATCAATTCCAACTGCCCTACCCCTAGCCTGTGTGCAGGAGAAAGCTCTCAGGCTCTGGCAGAGGAGTCCCAGGGGAAGGATGCATGATCTTCCACTGTGCCTCCCAGCCATGCTGAGCAGCAAAGCAGACCATGAGCAGGTCTCCCTTAAATTCATTTGCTTGATTTGTCCTTGAGTGTCCTTGGATGGGTTTGTTGCCTCCTTGTCCAGTATGTCTTGGTCATCCTGATTCCTGGGCTTGGCTCCCAGGTTGATTCTTTCCCTGACACAAAACAGGCACTATGGGCAAAGACACCTGCAGCCTTGGAGAGACCAGTGATGCTAGATGTTTCCTGTTAGCACTCAGGAAAGCTCAGAGCTTTTGATGAGCATCTTTTGATCCATTAGTTAAAACCACGCTGGGTTCTTTATAGTGGTTAGTTAGCTCTGGGCTATGGGATTGTGGAAGACATTTATTTCTTCTTTGGATTCACCTGGATTTTCTGCAACGGACAAGTATCGATAAAATACATGGTGCTTTTCAGAAATTGCCCCATCATCATGTTGCTGTTGTTGTTATTGATATTGTTGTTTCTGATGGATAGAGATCTAGGCCTGACACTCCAAGCAGTGTGAACAGCATTTACCTTGATAAGCATTCTTACATCTTAACCCTCGGGAATTTTAAATAGAAGTGTTCCGTGTGATTAAATTAACAGGTTTAGAGATGGGTGTCCTGGTTATTTCCTTTGTTCTCCTCCTGGTAGCTGCCTGCACTCACAGCGTGTTGGGAATGGTGATTATAAATGTAACCATGCTCTCTTCTTGTAAGTGGAGAGCCCAGGTACCTCTTATCCAGCATGTGACCCTCTTTCTACCTCAGGATAGTCATACTCTTAGGCTTCCTAGATTTATTCAGGGCCAAAGGAGTGGTCAAGGTCCTTTTTGTTTTGCCCTATTCCCTTTGGAAAACATTTAGTTTATGCCCATGTTACAGATTGCAAAATACAGGCACATATTCTCACTAATGTGGTCTGCATGTCCCTTTGCAAGGACATGCAATGTGACTTCACTACTCCTTTCATCAAGAAAAGGAGCCTCTTGGTCGGGCACGGTGGCTCACGCCTGTAATCCCAGCACTTTGGGAGGCCAAGGCAGGCAGATCACGAGGTCAGGAGATGGAGACCATCCTGCCTAACACAGTGAAACACAGTCTCTACCAAAAAATACAAAAAAAAAAAAAATTAGCCAGGCGTGGTGGTAGGTGCCTGTAGTCTCAGCTACTTGGGAGCCTGAGGCAGGGGAATGGCGTGAACCCAGGAGGCAGAGCTTGCAGTGAGCCTAGATCGCGCCACTGCACTCCAGCCTGGGCAACAGAGCAAGATTCTGACTCAAAAAAAAAAAAAAGAAAAAGAAAAGAAAAGGAGCCTCTTTGCCTCTTTACCCTAATCTGGGCAAGCCTTGCAACCTGATTTGCCAAAAAAATATGAAGGAAGCAATGTGATGTGATTTTCCAGGCTAGAATGTAAGAAGCCTTGGAGCTTCTGCATTTACTGTCTTCAGATGCTGCCTGAAACCACTGTAAGAAGCTCTAACCTACTGGAGGATAAGGGGTGAGCCCAAGAGCATCAAGGCTCCCATCAACAGCCAGTCCTGTGAGTGAGGCCATCTTGGACCTGCCAGCTCAGTAAACCCTTTTGCTGAACACAGCCCAAGGAAGGAACCCTTGCAAAATGAAATCATGTGGTCAGTTTGCAGGGTGGTTATTACACAGCAGTAGATGATTGAAAAGGCCCAGTGTCTTCCTGGGGACTGAAACACCCACCTCCTGTTCATGTTGATACACGGTGAGCAGAATATGGATGTGGGAGTGGTGTTGGTTGCAGGTGAGGTAGAGAAGCACTGAACAGAGCACAAAGACCTGATGTTCCAGGGTCGGGAGTTTAGACTTGATCCTAACAGCGGCCATAGGCGGATTTAGGCAAGAGAGTAACGTGGTCAGATTTTCATTTTAGAAAGTTACTCTGACATCCATGTGGAGAATGAACTTGAAGGTCACAAGGCTGATGGAGCCAGGAAGACCATTTGGGAGGTGATCGTAGTAATCTACTTAAGAGTTCATTACGAGCTGGGGAATGGGGAGGTGTTAGAGAAGAGAAAATGGATTTGAAGAGCTGAGGGATGTTAAAAAGGCAAAACTGGGCCAGGGATGGTGGCTCACGCCTGTAATCCCAGCACTTTGGGAGGCCAAGGTGGGCAGATCATGAGGTCAAGAGATTGAGATCATCTGGGCCAATATGGTGAAATCCCCTCTCTACTAAAAATACAAAAATTATCTGGATGTAGTGGCACACACCTATAATCCCAGCTACTTGGGAAGCTGAGGCAGGAGAATCGCTTGAACCCAGGCAGTGGAGGTTGCAGTGAGCTGAGATTGCACCACCGCACACCAGCCTGGTGACAGAGCAAGACTCCGTCTAAAAAAAAAAAAACAACGGAAAATTGTTGGGACTTGTAATTAATTGGGTGAGGAAACTGAGTGGCAAATGGTCTCAGCTCTACACATGGAGAGCCCTGGGGACATAGGGAGAGCACATTTGGAAGGAAAGATGATGATTTTAGTTCTTAAAATTTTGTTTGTGGAGGAGGCATTCAGACAGAGAATTCTGTTGGGCAGTTTTATGTAGAGAACTACATCTAAAGAGGTCAGAAGTGAACTTCAATAAAATTGAGGTGACCAATGATCATCAGTTTTAAAGAGGACATATTTTCTTTTTCTGTTAAAGGGAACACACCTATGAGTCAGAAAGCCAGACATTTATTTTTTCTCGCCAAAGGTTATTGTACAACCTACGGAAGAGAGTGTAAACACTGGTCTTTAAGATGAATTGTAAAGCTCTAAAGAGAATAAGAAAAATTGTGTTTCATGATTTATGATGGATAACATTTTAGAGTTGATTTCATAAGAGAATTCATTAAGCCAATAGACAACCATGGCATTTTAACTGTAGTGTTTAAGTATCTTTAGCTCTGATTTTTTAATTAGCAGAAGCAAATAAAGAGAGCTTCATTTTAACCATGAGAAATCTCTCTTCTGTATTTCATGTGACTAAATTTGTCCAGACGCTGAAGTTCAAATAATCACAGTGATTGCCAACATAATGGTTAATTTTCTGAGAAGTAAGTTCATGCTTTGCCACAGTTTGCTCCCCTGTAAGATCAGACAGAAAAATAAGAATAAAACCGACTAATAGCTATTGATTGCTTCTGGAACAGCTATCAATATAAAGAGCCAGACAAAACACATAATAAAGAATTGTGTTAGTGCCAGAGAGACTTTAGAGATCATTTGCCCATCTCTTTACCTTCTCCCACTTCTTTCTGTCCCTCCACCCCACCAGCTCTGATACAGACACACAGGATATTAGTAAAGGATAGTATTTGTTGAGAGCCTTTTGCATGTCAGGCACTGCTTCTAAACGTTGTATAATACCAGCTCATTCAATCTTCAAATCAATGCTATACAGTAGGTACTCTTCTTCTTTTTTTTTTTTTTTTAAATTTTACAGCTGAGGGACTGAGGTATGGAGAGGTTAGGTAACTTGTTCAAGGACACCAAGCCAGTCAGGCTGCCACTGGACCTAAGACAAGGTAACCTGGCTCTGAGACCAACCCCACAGAGAAGTATGTGGATGCTGACAACACTGTAGGAAGTTACAAGGAGCAAAAGAATAGCAGCCTCAGCCCTGAATTCCACTGTAAGCTTCCCTCTAATCTTCCCTGCCTCACTCTCAATCGAATAAAGAGCTGATCAGGAAGCAACTATGCACGGTCTTCCCCTCCACACCTCCAGCCCCAGCTCCCTTCCCCAGACTCAGTGCCAGCCTGTGCCAGCCCCCAAGATGGCAGTGTGGAGCCATGCACTAGGTCTGCCGCGCACCCAGCAGTCGGCTGTGGGTTCTTTGTATCTGTCAGAGTCCTGGCAGGAAATGGTTTCATTCTCAAAGGGTTAACTAGGAAGAATTTAGTGAAGGGTCAGTTTACAAGGTTCAGGAACTAACGGAAAATGGTGAAGCACCCAGGGACTGGCACTGGAGCTTCCCCACAGGAGCTGAGGCCAGAGAAGTATACATCCATTGTTGTCTTAAAGAGTGGTTAACTATCTATTTGCTCTTACTTTCAACATTTCTGCTGGGGCCTTGCATTGAACAAACTCAACTGTAATCTAGAGAGCAGGGACTCCTGAGTGGCACATTCAGTGGGAGTCAGCTTCCTAGGGAATCATTTATTTATTTATTATTTATTTATCAGAGTCTCACTCTGTAGCCCAGGCTGGAGTGCAGTGGTGCGATCTTGGCTCACTGCAACCTCTGCCTCCCGGGTCTCTGTTCAAGCAATTCTCCTGCCTCAGCCTCCTGAGTAGCTGGGATTACAGGCACGTGCCCCCATGCCCAGCTAATTTTTGTATTTTTAGTAGAGACGGGGTTTCACCATGTTGGCCAAGCTGGTCTTGAACTCCTGACCTTGTGATCTGACTGCCTCAGACTCCCAAATTGCTGGGCTTACAGGCATGAGCCACTGAGCCCTGCCTTCCTAGGGAATCTTGTAGGAAAGACAAAGGTAGAGAATCTGTCTGATGGCGGAAGCAAATGAATGCCCATCACATGCACTTTCCTCCAACAGAGCAACTCGGATGCTGTGAAACAATGCTAAGTCAGTCTCAGTGTCTGTTGCAGTAATATTGTACATACTGTAGGTCTTAATCATAGGAAATTACATGCCCATTGCCCTGTGCATGGACCGGAGCGCACTTATGGGGGGCCGGTAGTCCTCCTTTCAGACATCTTTTTTTTCTCTGCCCCAACAAGTGGCCTTTCCATAGAAGACTGCCCAGAGAACCCTATGGCAACCCTACCCTCTTATTCCACTTTATTTTTCTTCAAAGTGTTTATTACTCCCTGTTGTTATGTTAGACTCTATATTTCTGTATTTGCTGTCCTCCAACTTGAAAAGAACCTCTGAGAGGGGAGGGACTTTCCTGGTCACATTCACTTGTCCCAGCACCTGCGATGGTGCCTGACATATCTCAGGGGCTCCTTAAATATTTATTGCTAGACAATGGGTATCATGGCTCAGCCTCCTCTGGGGTTACGAGGCTGGAGGAAAGAAACTTTAGCATGAGTGCAGTGAGAGTAAAAGAATTCAGCAGCTCTAATCAGGGAATGAATCTGGTGTGTAATAGGATCTCAAGGCTTGACTCCTAGTCTAAGACCATTTCTGGAGTTTGCTGACTTGATCCCCATCCTTCATCATTAGCACTTTGCAGGGAAGGAGCTGAGCGTGGATCTTGACTCTGAATTGGCTGGGACATGCAAAATCGGGGGCATGCTTGGTGTTGCCCAGGCTCAGCTCTGCCTAGACACACGTGAGGGCCAAGATCTGGTTTGTGTTTCATGAGCTCTCCCAGGATGAAGACCCAGCCAGGCTGTCTGAAGAAGGGGTGTTCTTGAGTAGGAGGGAAGGACTGCTCCAATACGAAAAATCTAACAATAGCATAGTCCTTAAGAGCTTGAGCTTTGAAGAGGGAGAACAGACCCATTTAAGGCATGAAAAATAAAGGAAACTCTTGAGTCCCTCCAAGGAAAATTCCAGCCACCTGGCTAGCCTCAAGAAGTAGATGAGCACCCTGATAAGTAAGAAGGTAATAATAGCTTAAAACAATAGTCAAGAAAATTAGAGCCACAAACTAATCTTAAATGACGAGTTAATGGGTGCAGCACACCAACATGGTACATGTATACATACGTAACAGACCTGCACGTTGTGCACATGTACCCTAAAACTTAAAGTATAATTAAAAAAAAAAAGAAAATTAGAGCCACAAAATGTTTGTTTCCCTATAGAAACTAGAGATAACATCTTAACATATGTCCCTGAGTTGTTTTGTAGAAACCCAGACCCCGCTAAATGGAAAATACCACCTGTTGGCTCGTAGATCTCAGATAAGGAGGAACTGAGGACTGAACACTCACAACTGTTCTTTGTTCTAAATTTCTTCTTGAGGGACCTGGAGGAGGTCACCCCCACAGGCCAGAGCAGAACATTCCTTTCTGCTGACCCCAAGTTTGTAGCCAAAACTTAACCAATCACAAATCAGAAAATCTTTGGGTTTTTGTTTGTTTGTTTGAGACAGAGTCTCACTCTGCTGCCCAGGCTGGAGTGCAGTGGCACGATCTCAGCTCACTGAACCCTCTGCCTCCCACGTTCAAACGATTCTCATGCTTCAGCCTCCTGAGTAGCTGGGATTACAGGTGCACACCACCATGCCCAGATAATTTTTGTATTTTTAGTAGAGATGGTGTTTTGCCATGTTGGTCTGGCTGGTCTCAAACTCCTGGCCTCAAGTTATCCACCCACCTTGGCCTCCCAAAGCGCTGAGATTACAGGTGTGAACCACTGCACCTGGTCTCAAATCAGAAAATCTTTGAATTCATCTAATGGTCACCTATCCTGTGGGCCCTCACTTTGAGATATTTTGCCTTTTTTGGCCAAACCAATATGTAGCCTCCATGTATTGTATGACCTTGCCTGCAACCTCTGCCTTCCCACCTTTAAAAACCCTTACACATAAGCCATCAGGGAGATTAGGCCTTAAGGATTAGCTGCCTGATACTCCTTGCTTGCTGCCTGCAATAAATTCCTCAACTTCTGTCTCAGCAATGCCGATATCAGTGCTTGACTTTGATAGGCTGGGTGGGTGGACCCAAATTTGGTTTGGTGACCCTTTGAGCTTAGATTCAAAATTCTAGTTTTGTCACTCTGCAGTTTTGTGATCTTGAGCAAGTTACTTAACCTCTCTGAGCCTTGTTTGTCATGTGTAATGAAAAGAGCTATACTTACCTTGTGAGGTAGTCCTCAGGATTCAATGAGATAATAAGTACTCACTAAACAAAACTCGTTATTACAAAAGAATCACTTTGTCTCTGAAGTGGGCAATTCAACCCATTTCTAGGAGATTTTAAACATGATTTTAGATATTTGGTGTGATTTTGTGAATGGGTTTATCGTTAATAGCTTTCATGCTCCAGAATTTTCTTGAATAATAGGTTTTTGCAAAGTGCATTCCATGGAATACTCATTTGGGTGACGTTAATAGACATCACTCAAAAGCTGGGTGAATATTACAATGTTTACTTCATCTGTAACAAGCTGAGTAGCTACAGTACATATCTAAGAGGGGGCTCTAATTCTCAATATTTTCCAAATTTATTAGATCACAGACTTTTCTTTTAGTGAAGTGCTTAATGAAACTTAAGTTCTGTGAAAAGTACTTTGAGAAATATTGCTTTAAAAAGAAAAAGATTGAGCCCTGTATCAGGGGAAATATCTAATATTATATTAAACAAAAAAGTCCCACTGAAGAAAATCATCTTATTGTTCATAGACCTTAGTTTAGGTATTGGGGCCAAAGGATGGATGACCATTTCAAACGATCCAGGCTAAGCCAGGAGGAGAGCTCAAAGTCTGATCTGGTGAGTAAGTTGTGAAGGGAATGTGATGAAAAAGTACACTTCTATTGCAAAGAAATCATGAGCTAGGTTTATACGCTATGCTGTGAATGGCCAATAGATTATAAATTCAACAGTCTCCCTGTCACAGCTATGGTAATGACGACTGTTTAGGCCTTAGGGGAGCTTTAGGGAGAGGCAATTTCATACTTAAGTCACACTGACTTAAAAAGTGAAATATTTGAAATCATTGTTGAAATCACGTGGAGGTCGTCAGCAAGCGGATGAGGTTGGAATGCCTATCATTTTCCTCAAGCTCATGTCCTCTCATTTTCTTATTTGAAAATCTATTTGGCTCAGAAAGGACACCTAGGGTTAGCCAAAAATCACCTCCTGATGTTCCTTTTAAAGGAAGCTTCCAAGTTATTTGAATAGCTTCCAAGTTATTCATCGAGAAACAAAGCAAATTCAAAGATTATGTCCGTAGGCACAAACTGGATTTTAAGAAATCCTGGCTGCATAAACAATTGTCTTATAGAAAAGAATTTCTGTTCCTCTTTTCCCTCCCCTTGTCAATCCTATTTGTTTCAGACCTGGGTTCAAACACTAGCTGTAGAGGCTATAAGCTATTGGAAGCACATTTGAGCCTGAAATAAACTGAACCTCTTTTGCCTTGGTTTTCTCACTTGTAAATGGGGATTTTTGTGCCTACCTCAAAGGTACGTTGCAAGGATCGAGGGACAGAGCGTGCAGCAAGTGGCCAATGAATAGAAGTCTGGTTTTCTGAGCATCCTTGCAGCTGCAGGCTTCAGTCTACCAGAGAATGTGAGGTGTTATTCTTCTAGGGCAGTGGTTAGAAAAGAAAATGAAAGTAGCAGTACTCTTTTCCTAATGCAACCATAGATGGATGATCAGAATTTGTAATCCATAAGGTAGAAGCTGCTGTGCCTGAAGAAATAGAAAGTGGGCAGAGGTGGAGGGGCAAGGTAGGGAGTGGAGTGGAAGGTAGGGAGAGTTTGATCCTAGCCTGCACTGCTCCTCAGAGGTACTTTAGCGTCTTTGGAACAGTATTAGAAAATCATGGTTCTATCAACTCATGTCTGAAAATCAATTGCTATTTCAGAGCAGGAGGTGACCAATCTTGGAAATAAGGAAGGGAGAGAGGCAGCCAAGCCAGCAGCTCCTAGGATTAGTCACTGCCTGGAGCCAGCTCTTGGAAGTTCCCCAGGAGCTGTCCAGTCTTATGTCATGTCTAGTCAGCAGAGTCCCAAAGAAGCTTGTCATTCTCTAGGCATTTGTGCTTACATTCTGATGGGCCTAATAGCAGGGAGATGACATGGAGCCCAGGCAGAACAGCTGAGATTTCTACTGGTCATGACCTCCATCTTCTCCTTCACACCTTTCCTACCTTTCTTTTTCCATGCATTCAACAGACATTTATTACCCAATAAGTGCCAGGTAGTAAGCGAGGACCTGGGGAGAGCAGATGAGTAAGACACCGTCTCTGTCTCTCAGGAGCTCTCAGATTCTTAGGGACACATGTACATCCTAATAAACACAGTGCATCTCATGAATGTGTAAGTTTAAGTTATTGATATAGGCACACACAGACAGAGGGACTTCGTTCCCTGCAGGTTCTGTAGTATTTCGTGCCCACTCCCCTTTCTTCCCTTGCTGCTCACATCATCTTGCCTTCAAGGAATCTGGGGGGATGGTAGACTGAAAGTGGCCCTTTCTGCATAATTCTTCTTGAAAACAAACATTTGCTCTCTTCTTAGAGGCTGACTATACTGAGAGCTACCACTCCTTGGCTGCTTATTAGCCATTGGGTTATTGCTAAGCCCTTTACATATGTTATATCATTTAATTGTATTGAATCTTCACCATAACACTTCAATGGAAATATTTTTCCAAATAAGGAAAGGTGAGACTCAAAGTAGTTGTATTAGTCTGCATTGCTATGAAGAACTACCTGAAACCGGGTAACTTATAAAGAAAAGAGGTGGGCCGGGCGCGGTGGCTCATGCCTATAATCCTAGCACTTTGGGAGGCCGAGGTGGGCAGACCATGAGGTCGGGAGTTAGAGACCAGCCTGGCCAACATGGTGAAACCCCGTGTCTACTAAACACACACACACACACACACACACACACACACACACCTGTAATCCTAGCTACTCAGGAGGCTGAGGCAGGAGGATTGCTTGAACCCTGGAGGTGGAGGTTGCATTGAGCCAAGATCACACCACTGCACTCCAGCCTGAGTGACAGAGCGAGACTCCATCTCAAAAAAAAAAAAAAAAAAAAAAAAAAAAAAAAAAAAAGAAAGATGTTTAATTGACTCTATGTTCCACAGGCCATACAGGAAGCATGGCTTGGGAGCATGGCTGTACTCCAGCCTAGGCGACAGAGTGAGACTCTGTCTCAAAAAAAAAAAAAAAAATCCCCATATCCCCATTCACTGTCCTTTTCTCTAGAAAATACCCCATTTCATGTAACTGTCTAAACAACGGTTTAAGGTCTACACAAGATTGTGAAGTGAACCTGCAGGATTAGGAGGGTAAGGATTCCCACCTAGGTGGGCTCACTTGCTCTGCCATACCTGGGTAGGATCCCAGCCTGCTTCTGTGATTGTCAGGAGGCACCAAAAAGGCTACCCTAGGTTTTCTGTCATTCGGCCCAAACATTTCCTCTGCTGGGCAAATGTGGAAAAGAGGCATTAAGCTGGTGCTCCCACAACTGAAAGGAAAGCAATTCTCTTTCTGTTGTGGTTCCTTCCTCTTTGGACTCTTTTCTTCCATTCCAGCCTATCCCCTTCTTGGAAAAGCTGTTCTACCAATAGCAGGGAAGAAACAGCACCGTGTACCTGATACGCTACCCTGGGCACAGGCGATCAGACCAGGGATAGACACCTGAACTGATCTGGGCAGATGCCCTCTTCTGGCCATTGAGAATTGACAGCATCAGACATCTAGAACATAATAGTATTTTTAAATTCTGCAGGGACATCCACCAGGCTGAGGGGGACCAATTTTGTTTTAAAAATGTATCCTGAACTTGGCCGGGCATGGTGGCTCATGCCTGTAATCACAGCACTTTGAGAGGCCAAGGTGGGCGGATCACTTGAGGTCAGGAGTTTGAGACCAGCCTGGCCAACGTGGTAAAATCCTGTGTCTATTAAAAAATACAAAAATTAGCCAGGCGTGGTGGTGTGTACCTGTAATCCCAGCTGCTGGGAAGGCTGAGGCAGGAGAATTGCTTGGACCAGGGAGGTGGAGGTTGCAGTGAGGTGAGATCATGCCACTGCATTCCAGCCTGGCCAACAAGAGCAAAATTCCATCTCAAAAAAAAAAGTATCCCAAACTTGGAAGTAAAAATAGGATGACTGCATGTCTTTCTAATGCCATACTGGAAGGTTGCCTAACAAACCACCAAAGCTTTTTTTAACTCTCTAAGGGAAGGTACTTTTGTTTGACTTACTATTTACTATTGATTAGGGCCCAGACTCTGCCAAGTTACATGTTAATTTTTGTCTGGTAGAGATACAAATGATTTTTGTCCTGTAAAAAGATTTTATTGCTCCACAGGACATTAATGAGTGAGGTTTCCAAATTAGCAAACTTATGTCAGCATGCTGTTTCTGATGGTCTATCCAAATCTTTCTCCTTCCAATTCTCTTTTCAAACAGCTTTACCATCCTCTGGTTCTTTCTTTTGTGAAGTAAACAGATCTTTATACACACTCCCTATAGACTTATATAAGAATCATGTTTTCACTTTTTGAAAATGATGCTTTGACAATTCCACTGAACAGGCTGGGGAAAATTTTATGAGAATTGTTGGATCCTGCTCAGAAGCAAAAAGATAAAACCAGGCTATCCTCTATCATGGCTGATCTGGGGTTCATTCCCAGAAATGAGGGTCTTGGATCAGGGTCAAATATGTGGGTGGGGTGGGCTCAATTGCTGAGATACCCATCTCATGAGGAAGGATGGGACCCATATTATGGGAAACAAAACAGGAAGAATGAGAGTGAAAAGATTAATCCTTTCACTAAATTGGGAAAACAGGAGAAAGTGTTGTTGGATAAAGAAGGAACTTTAGCACAATGAGCAGAGACAAGACGGTAAATGTTCCTTATCCAGTAATCTCTGATGAAAGGCCAGTGCTCACATCATTAGTAATGTCCAGAACTGATAATATCAGTAATAGCAATACTCACAATGTAAATAAGTAGCTCTCATGTTTTGATTGCCAATAGTGCTAGCAACCTTACATGTATCACTCTTTACCCCAGCCCTGTTAATTGGTACTATGATGAAGAAAGAGACTCAAAGAAAATAAATGACTCACTCGCGTATTTTTACACAGCTAGAATTGCTACAGAAAGGATTAAAGCCAAGTCTATCCAAATCCACTGTCTATGTCCCTCCCTCCCTCCCTCCCTCCCTCCCTCCCTCCCTCCCTTCCTTCCTTCCTTCCTTCCTTCCTTGCTCCTTCCTTCCCTCCCTTTCTGCCTCCCTCCCTTTCTGCCTCCCTCCCTCCCTATCTCAAACATCTATTGAGTGTCTACCATGTGCCAGGCACTGTGTCAGGCTCTTGGGATACAGCAATAAGCCAAGTCCTTGCTTTCAGGGAGTTTACATTCCAGTGAGAGGGTCACAGAAACAAATGTATCTCTATGGCAGCAAGTGCTATGAAGAAAATCAGCTTCATTTTTATTGTTTCACGCCCATCATGCAGGTTTCCCACAGTCCATCATCCCCACTCCACCCCCCACCCAATGTAGTGCTTTCCTCTGTCCTGGAGAATCGGAAAGACTTCACAGCAACATCTGCAGTCCCTTTGTTTCAGTGACTTTGGCACAGAGAAGTGGACACGGTGGCAGACAAAGCTGCTGGAAGCTGTCAGGCTACTGGCAGCCAAAAGCTTAATCACACATTCCAAAGGCAGTGTGTGTGTGATGTTGCATCTCTGGCCCTGGAAGGGAGATAGAGGTCACCTTCTTGGGAGTCAGAGTTGGCCCCTCAGCTCCCAGGGGTTCAGCTGAGCAGCTTCAGAGGGCTGACTGCAGAGACCAGGAAGGGGCCATTCACTCTGATGGGAATTGGGAATCATTGATGCTCGAGCAGCAGCTGAGTTAAAATTCATGCTAAGAAATCAGCATTCACATGTGTACATATTTAAGTCAGGATCTCAGTGAAGAGGGCATGACAGCAGTGAAAAGAGGTGCCAGACCTGAAGTAGGCTACCTTATGGTTGCTGCTTCACCTGTTGCTGTACACACACACACACACACACACACACACACACGATTCCAGAAGATAGTGGGACAGTAGCAATTTGAAGGCTCTGCCAGAAAAGCATTTGCTTAAAGTGTTGGGAATTTTTTGTTGGATTGTTGTTTCATTCATAGGGCTTCTAAATTTCACTTTTGCATTTTAACCATTTCAAGGAATTCCCCCTGATTTTGAGTGTGAATGGGTACAAAAGACCAGGGGTTGTTAACCAAAAGCCTGGAACATTCAGGTGAACGGCTGTTCTGCAGGGAAGGAGGGAAACAGCAGGGTGAGATGGATGGTCAACCTTCAAAGGCCTTACACAGTCCCGGCCAGGATAATCTTCGCCTCTCCCTTCTGCTGGGGAAAAGTCTGGATTGCTAAGACCAGGGTCTCTATAGTGGCATCTCCAACACTCAGGCCGAGCTTCATGGCTGGGTTCCTGTTTTTTCATTTGCTCATGCCCCTCAGTGGTATCATCTGACTCAGCTCCTTTCCCTCCTGTTGGGCCAGTACTTACAGTGGGTCTCCTGATGAAGCTGAGGTCATGGGTTCATGAGCCCAATTATCACCATGCTGACCGCACCACTAACCTGGCTCCGTGTAGTTGCAAACTTGGCTGCACATTGGAATTCCTAGGGAGAGTTTTAAACATCCCAACGACCAGGCTGCAATGAAATAAGACCGATGAAATCAGGATCTCAGGGGTGGAATGGGACTGGTAATTTACAGAATCTCTCCAGCTGATTCCATATTCAGACAAGTTAGAGCACCAATGCCCTCAGTCCTGAGAGTGAGGGCTGGTCTCATGAATCCATTCACACAGATGGAAGTCCATCCTCACAGCGGTCAGGCCTCACACAACATCGGGCATGTTGGTAGGCATATGCCTAAGTTTCTGTGCAATGAATGAATGCCTTACTGGTGATGCATCAATAGCAAGGCATTCAGGGGAGAGAGTACCCTGCCTCAGTGCCTAGCATGAGACATACATCCAGGACCATGTTTTTATTCCCATCTTATGGATGAGAAAACTGAGGTTCAGAAAGGGTAGGCAAAATCCCCTAGCTCACCTGGCTGGAAGGGGGCAGAACTTCCCTGTACGTGCTGAGAACACCACTGTTCGAGCAGAGGGGAAACCTCTGCAAATTTCACTCTGTGTTCAGTGGGTGACTTGCCAAAATGACTTGCCAAAGCCCTTTAGGGCCAATAAATTAGAGTGTTTGCATCAAATTTCCATGCACAAGAGCCAACTCAAAACCTTAGATCCAATTCCATTGGTTCCCATAGCTCTGAAGTGGAGAGATGCTAGTAATAAATCCTACAGGCTGATGGCAGGACTTTGATATATAATATTAACTCTGATCTTGGTGGTGGTCTGACTCAAGACAGAGGGAATATTAAAAGCAGTAGTAATCCTTCTAAAAGTTCCATGCGCTTCTGCCCAGATATCCAGGGTTTCTGGCTGAATTAGCCTGCAGAAGCAATTGTGCAGATTAGGTGATGTTGAACCACGAGAAAGTGTCTTCCCACTTAGCAAATCAAGGGTCCATGGGATGGAGAGAAAGGAGGGAATAGAGTTTGTCACTTGGGCTGTACTGACCCCAGTGGTGATGTCTTCCCTTTGATGGGTGGTGTTGGGACAGCAAGGCAGTCATCATTTAGCCCACTAGTGCTAAGGTGGAAGGCATCCGCAGTGCATGGTCTGGCATCCCCAGGCAAAGACAAGAGGATGGGCCCTGCAGAGTGTTTTGGGTTAGAAACAAGCTGAGTGAACTGAGTGTTTCTTCAGGGAGCGCACTAAAGATGAGCCGACAAATCCACGACAGTGGGGAGTGAGGTGAGGCAGGGACACAAATCCACAGCTGACTCACCCAGCACATTCCCACCTCCTCAGCATAGAAAACCACAGGGACAAACTGACCAGAAGGCCATTCATCCATGGGTCTATCCCGTGCCTTGATCAGTCTTCCTAAATCCCACCTTTGCCAAAGTCACTCCAGTCTGTGAATTTTCCATGGCTTCCTGATGCATATGGAAAGACGTTCAGACTCCCAATCTGAGGTCCAATGCTCTCCAGAATTCCATCTTTCCCTACCTTCCTGGAATCATTTCCCATTGACTTGCCATCTACCTGGACAAGCTGGAATGGCTGCTTTGGCTGTCTTCTGAAAATGCCCTGAGGTGTCTCTGCCCCAGGCCTGTCTCCTGTGCCCCCAGAGCTGCCCAGGCCCCTGCTTCCTACAGAGACCAGCTCACAGTCTTCTTGTCAGTGGTCATCTAACAGTGGTCTTGTAAAAGCAGAGCAAGTTCCAATCTTATTTATAGCATTCAGCAGTTTTTTTTTTTTTTTAGAGCTGGTGTCTTGCTCTGTTGCCCAAGTTTGAGTGCAATGGCTCAATCACAGCTTCACTGCAGCCTTGAACTCCTGGGCCCTAGTGATCCTCCTCTTTCAGCCTCCTGAGTAGCTGGGACCACAGGTATGCACCACCATGCCCACCTAAACACAGTCTACCTTTATGTGTGTGTGTCCATCCATCACCAGATGCTCACGGAAGGTAGGGCAGAAACATTTTGAAAAATAATTTTTACCTTTGAAGAGTAATCTTAATGATAACCTAGCAGGTGCTCAGATACATCGGGTCGATTCACTTCCTATGGCTGTGTAACAAATTACCACAAACTTGGTGATTTAGAGCAATGCCCATTTATTATCTCAGGGTTTCTATAGGTCAGAAGTTTGGGTGTTGCATGGCTGGATTGTCTGTTTAGGATCTCACAGGGTTGAGATCGGGGTAGCCAGGGTTGCTTCTCATCTGGGGCTCCAAGTCCTCTTTGCAAGCTCACTGGTTGTCAGTAGAATTCAGTTCCTGTGGTTGTAGGACTGAGGTCCCCATATTCTTCTTGCTGTTTGTCAGTCTGGGGTGCTCCCAGCAACTCAAGGCCACTCTCAGGTTGTTGACACAGGGTGCCAACATCTATCTTCAAAACCAGTAGGAGGATTTCTCTTGCACTGAATCTCTTTTGCATCTCTGACATTCTCAGTCTCTGACCTCTAGATCCAGATTTAAAGGGTTCACTTGATTCTGTCAGACCCACTCAGGACAATTATTTTGTTGTGCGTCCCTTTTTCTGGGAAGTGGGTCTACCACTTCTATCACGTTCTTAAAAGGGTCTGGGAATGTTCACCCATCACAGACATCCACACCAGGCCAGTTAAGTCAGAACTGCTGGAGATTCCACATTCTCCTGGGCAGCCTGGGTGGAGAACCACCTATGTGGAAGGAACACTGGGCTCCAAAGATAAGGGGCCTTGCATTTTATTTCATTACCAGTGTCTATTGGCTCTGAGACCTTACAGAAATCACTCAACTTCTCAGGGCCTCATTTGCAAACACGGATGATAATAGTAAGCTCCATCTCTCACGGTTGTTAGGAGGATTAAAAGTGTATAAAGATGCTCTGCAAGCTCTGAAGTATTAGCCAACCGTCTAGTCAGTGTGAAGAGACACTGAAAAGTGAGGTGGGACACAGCATTTTAAGTGAAAAAGAAGGGAGAAGCTTATCTTTATCAAAGTTAAATATTAGATACTGAGTACTTTGTAAAGTCTGTTGCTGCTGGGGATCAGGCAAATTGTTATAACCTTCCTGGAAGGCAATTTCCCATAATTATCAGCAGTTTACAGAATATCCAAGCCATTTGACCCTAAGATAATGTTTCTAGGGATTTCTCTTAAGGATTTAATCAAGGACACATACACAGATTATAGCAGTTCAAAATTGGAACCCATCTATTTAACAATAAGGGATTGTTTAATTACACATGAAATATTATTTAAACGTGAACATTATATTGCCTTTAAATATTTGACATGGAAAGAAGCTTAAAACTCAGTCCTATTTCCTTATCAATGTTCTATCCACAAGGGGCAGGAGGTGTCACCTCCTTGGGAATCAGAGTTGGCCCCTCAGGTAGGTGTTTGGAGCTTCCTGGTAGGGGCTGGGGACAAAGTGTGGATGGGGCACCTGCTGGACCTGTGGCGAGATCATCAGGGGTTGCTATTGGTCTCAGCAAGGGAGTGAGGCTGACCAGTTCTCAGCTGCATTTCAGAGAAGGATGAAATGCCCTAATCAGAAGTCAGCTCCCCTCATGACCCTGGAGGGAATTCTGCCCACTCACAGACTCTTTCTTATTCTGGGCCTCTGCTGTTATCTGGGTCTAGCTCCCTGTCACAGTCAGTTTGGGGACTGATCCTCCAGGAAAGTCCTGGGACCTCTCGGCAGGCTGAATGCTTCTCCTTTGTGACTCCCCTGCCATGGCGGTTGTGCCCCTTCTTACCTTCTACAGACATGACTTTTCATGGGCCTCTTCCTTTCTCCCCACCGGTAAATCACCACCCTTCAAAGGCAGGAACTGTCTCTATGTCATCTTAGTATCCTACGGGCCTGGCCCAGAGTAGATGCTCCAAAAAACTTGTCCTGAACTGAATGGGCGTGAAGCTGGGGCCTGTTGCACTGTGTTGTTGTGGGGCGGGGTGACTTCCAACCACACTGGGAGCCATCTCCCTCTCTCATTCCGAGGGAAGAGTCCGCAGCACAGATGGGCGCAACCCAATGTCAGGAGCTGACACTGTGATCAAAGAAAATCATTTCCATTGCTCCTGTAGACGGAAAGAGTCAAACTCAGTAAAATATTTGAAGAGATGTATTCTGAGCCAAATATGAGTGACCACGGCCCTTGCCATAGCCCTCAGGAGGTCCTGAGAACATGTGTCCAAGGTGGTCGGGGTACAGCTTGGTTTTATGCATTTTAGAAAGGCATGAGACATCGATCAAGTACATTTAAGAAATACACTGGTTTGGTCCAGAAAGGTGGGACCAAAGCAGGAGGAGAGGGGCGCTTCCAGGCTATAGGTAAATTTCAGTGAGTTTGTCTAAAGACCTGGGATCCATAGAAAGGAAATTTTCAAGTTAAGATAAAAGATGGTGGAGACCAAGGTTCTTTTGAAGTCTTATAGAGGCTGTCCTCAGAGACAATAGATGGCAAATGTTTCCTATTCAGATCTTTAAAAGGTGCTAGACTTGGCCAGGCACGGTGGCTCACGCCTGTAATCCCAGCACTTTGGGAGGCCCAGGTGGGTGTGGATCACAAGGGCAGGAGTTTGAGACCATCCTGGCCAATGTGGTGAAACCTCATTTCTACTAAAAATATAAAAATTAGCTGTGTGTGGTGGTGGGCGTCTGTAGTCCCAGCTACTCAGGAGGCTGAAGCAGGAGAATCGCTTGAACCCGGGAGGCAGAGGTTGCAGTGAGCCGAGATCATGTCACTGCACTCCAGCCTGGGCGACAGAGTGAGACTCCGTCTCAAACAAAAAAAAACAAAGTGCTAGACTTTCAGTTAATCTCTTTAGGATTGGGAGGGCCTGGAAGAAAAATATCTAGCTATGTTAATAGAGATTCTTTACAGATACAAATTTTCCCCCACAAAGGACAGCTTTGCAGGGCCATTTCAAGATATGGACAAAAAAGCCTATGTTTTGGGGTAAAATATTTTGATTTTCTTCCTTGTCTCATAATGTTATGACAGAGTCAGTTTGGAAAGTAAGTCACAATATATAGGGTTAAATAAAATCCATCTGATGAGAATTTATGGTTTGTAGGACATCACTCCCCAGACCCTTTAGATAGGGAATTTGGGTAAGATAAAAAAAAAAATCAGAGCTTAGTCTTCACTTGCAAGGGTGCCCCTGTGTTCCTCCACTCTCCATCCCCAAGCTGGGCTGGGATTTCTTGAGCCAGATGAGTTGAAGATGCTGCAAAGTTAAAATGGCCTTGCCTTCCTGCGCAGTCAGGTGGAGCACCCCCTTCCCTCATCTGGGCCTGCTGAGTAGGGTCTCACTGATCCCCGCACTGTGTGTCCCTTAGACCTTTCCTGAGACCCAGCCCTTCCCCCGGTGGAAGGGAGAATTATTTGAAAAGTGTGGGTTTTGGTGTCAGACAGACTGGGACCCAGGTCTAGGCTACTGAACCAGTGAGCTGTGTGGCTTTGTGCATGCTATTTAGACACTCTGAGTTTTAATTTCCTAATTTCTAATTGCCAGACAGGTTGGTTGGGAGGAACAGCTTAGATTGACCTATGAAAGCATTTGTAGACTCGGAAGTGTTCTCATGGCACTTTGGATGAAATCGTTCCTGCTGCTTCAAACTACTGTGTGATGAGTTTCCAAAAATCATTGCCTGTGATCTGCAGGCTCGTTGTATGTCACAGATCACCAGATGTGCTTCCATTCCATGCTTGCTTCTGCAGTCCTGTTCTAAGCTCTGGCCTAATATTCTTCCCGCCCACGGAGCTCTTGCCACTGCCTCACCGCAGAGACTGGAACCCTGTCCTTTAACTCCCAGCTCAGAGTGTAGGGAAGTGTTTCTCAAAGTATTCTCTGTGTTATCTGCTTCCAAATTGCCTGGATATTGGTTAAAAACCAAACCTCTGGTTCCCCTTCCAGACTGAAGGATGAGAATTGGCTGTGGGAATGAGTGGGAATCTACGCTGTTGTGAAGTTCCCCACAGGGATCTCCTGCATCTTAAGGCTCAAAGGCCATGGACCTAGCCCCTGGATACTGGGCATAGGCATCTCAGATGCTGTCTGTTTCTTCACTTCCCTGACTGGCCTGGGCTCTGGGGTTGGGCCCTTCTCATTTCTGGATTTGTGATACTTGTCTTGTATCCCCTTTTATCATAGTGTGCTTTTGCTTACAAGTGAACAAAAACCCAATCCAAAGTGATTTAAACAAAAAGAGCACTTATTGTAAAAGTTCAGAATAAACTGCCTTCAGGCATGGCTTGATCCAGGGGCGCACACTGTGTTACCAGGAGGCAGTTTCTCTCTGCCTCCTCACTTGGCTACATTTTTCTCTCACTTGTGCATCCTGAGCCATTCACAGAGCTCAGGAGGATGAGTGTTCTGATGGAGCAGGGTATGCTGGTGGTTAGTGCCATCAAAAACAGAATGAGATAATGATATGGCTCAGATGACTGGAGGAGCACCAGGGTTCTTGGTCTAGCACACACTTGGATAAAATGACACAGACACACCTGGAGTGGTTTTAAGGAGCGAAAAGTTTAATATACAAGAAAGAAGGAAGGAAGAAGAAAACAGCTCCCCAGTACAGAGACAGAGGGAGAGGGGATTTGAACAGAGAGAAAACCCCGGTGGGGAGAAGGGATGTGGGGGGAGGGCGTGTGTGTGGTGTAATCAGCTAGTTATATGAGGAGGCTGGAGGAGGCGGTGCTGGCTTGCATAGGGCTCAGAGGATTGGTTTGACCAGGCAGGTCATTCACATAGCCTGCGAAAAAGCTGGCCCTCACAGTCTAGCCTTTTAAGATGCAAATGCAGGGCGCCATGATGTTCTACACACGTGGGGATATGTGGGGGCGGCCATGTTGCCAGCCACCTGTTGGGTCAAGGAAGAAACCTGGAATCTCCATGTTTGGGTGGACTCAGTTTCCAGTGGCCTGCGTTTGCATATCAAAGCTTGCCAGTGGCTCTTAGAGCTGGCGCTCTCCTGTTAGACAAGAAAGGTTTCTGGATCTGCTTTAAAAGAAACAAAAACTTCCCAAGGACCTCTTTTCCTCTCTATCTGCCTAAAATAATTTCTTAATAACTCCTATAACAATAAGGGGGTGGTCCATTCCCACATGTAAATTGAGGCTTTTCCCAGAAATAGGGTGAATAGATGCTGAGTTACCCCAGTCAGCAAATGTCCATTTATCTCATTTGTGAACTCTGGACTCTGCACAGAGACTGTGGTGACACAGGCTGTCCTGTGACCCTGTGGCTGGGTCAGCTCCTGTGTCTGCGACAGGATGCCCTGAGTCCCCATGGATTCCTCAACCCCACACCCTGTCCTACTCTTAGCCAAGTCAGCCATGCCCCTCTGAGGGCTACGCTGCTTCAATAGGCCTGGCTTCCTAAGTACCTTTCATTATCACCCAGGCTCATACCCAGAAGCAAAGCAGAAATTTCTTTTGAGATCCAGGGTGGGAAATGGTCAGTTGAATTGAGTTGCAACCGAAGGTGAGGAAACGTCTTTTATGAAAACCCATTTCCCTCTGTCGGAGGTGATTTCAGTCACATTTTCCAAGCTCAGGATAATTTACCCCCTACCAGGGTGCACTGCAGAAGGTCTGGCTGGAAGGCCCCGAGCACAGGAGTTGATTGCTAGCTGCTAAGAGGCTGCGCTTTGTTCCCGAAGGAGAAAGCTGCAGGTTAAGAGAACATTCCCCACCTTGCCAGGGGTGACAAAGCAGGGGACTGCTTGAGGGCTGACACTGGAGTTAGAGATAATGAAAGGAGAGGAGGAAGAAGAAGCCAGGGCCTGGCTCAGCATCTCACCGCATTGGTGGGGAGAGGAGCTGCTCACCTTCTCGCACCTGTTGTTGGGCTGAGACAGATTTTCAGAGAGCAATGCCTCCTGGACAGAGGCTCTTCCCCACAGGGCAAATGTAATTAGATGAGAGAAAAACAAAGCTCTGAAACCCTAATTAGGTGCCAAGCCCTCAGGCTTTATACATCTAAACAGCTAAGGAACAGAGGATAAGATTCTCCAGTCGGCACTCCCTTGCCAGTCCTGGCTGAGCTAATGGTGAAGTGAGAGCTGTGCCACAGATCCCATGGTTGGCTTTTTGTTGTTGTTATTTCAGATGGAGTTTCACTCGCCACCCAGGCTGGAGTGCAGTGGTGCAATCTTGGCTCACCACAATCTCCGCCTCCTGGGTTCAAGTGATTCTCCAGCCTCAGCCTCCCGAGTAGCTGGGACTACCAGCGCCCGCCACCATGCCTGGCTAATATTTTGTGTTTTTAATAGAGACGGGGTTTCACCATGTTGACCAGGCTGGTCTTGAACTCCTGACCTCAGGTGACCTGCCCACCTCAGCCTCCCAAAGTGCTGGGATTACAGGCATGAGCCACTGCACCTGGCCCCGTGGTTGGCTTTTACTCCTTCCATTCTGCCACCCTGAAGCTGATCCTCTGGAATTTGCTTGTTTTTGGTGTGTCCAGAAATGAAGGTCTATCAGTTCTTGAAATTGGGTTGTTTTAAGTAACTGATGTGCTGGGATGACAGTGAAGAAGACAAGATAGGGATTCCTCTTCCTAAACTTTAGGGCCTGAAGGGACTCCTCATTGACAGCAGATGGGATTTTTAATTTCACTCTGGGATGGAGGAAGTGGAGAGGTGATCCAGGCTGGATTGAAATCTCTCAAGCCTGGGAGATTTTGCCCAAAGACTTTTGACATGGGAACAGTAGAAACATTGGGAAAATTGGACTTTCAGGTCAGCATTCTGGGTATTTCCCCAGTCTTCCCAGGGTGGGATCATCTGGCCCCAGTTATGGGAATAAGACCACATAAATAGAAGATGACTTGGGAAGTCATCTTCCCAAGGTGTCAGGGAGGAGGTGGAGGACCACTGTTCTGATCAGCCTCCTTCAACCTCACAGTGGGGTTGGTCTCAGATGGTGCCCAGGAACCTGCCAGCAGCGGCACTTTGATGGCACCAAGATCGTGGGTGCAGGGACCCAGATTTGCTTCCTACTCATGTCTCCCTACCCACTGAAAAATGGAATATCAGTGAGGAATATCTTAGAGGGCTGCCTTTGCTCCTTTTGCCAGAGAACCAATATTGGTTATTAACAATTGGGCCACATCTGGTGTGCAGAAAAATGAATATTTTAATAGTGCTTCATAGGGTATCGTAGCATCTTATAAAAAGTGGCCCATCAAATTATTGATTCAATCATTTAAAATGCATTAGCAGAGGATGCCTATCAGACTAAGACATCCATGTTTCTGATCCAGTGAAAAGGGTCCAGGTAAGGAACACATATGAAGCCTCTTGGCATCCTTGTGTGAGCACGGTGCATGACGTGGCCATCAGTATCATTGTTTTCTTTGAGTTTTTGCTTGAGTGTTGAGATGTGTGAGGGATAGAAGATCCTTGTTTGCTTCTAGTCCTGACCTACACTGTCCATTAGGGAAATAATTTGTTTTCTTGAACCCATTATATGAATAATTTTGTTTTTAATCAATAGAAACAAATGGTCTTTATTTAACTAACAGAAAAAATTCCAATGAGGCCAGGCCACATAGGGGTTTCTGTAAATGTCATATCATTTCTCTTCTGTCCCCTCAGCTAAGAGTATAAAAAGTTCAGGCGACCTCCAGGGGCTTTTGCCTACTTAAATAGTATTACTTAGAGATGAGCTAGTACTTGGTTTTAAAAGTAATTTTTTTTTTCTTTTTTGAGACGGAGTTTCGCTCTGGTCGCCCAGTCTGGAGTGCAATGGCACAATCTCGGCTCGCTGCAAGCTCCACCTCCTGGGTTCAAGAGATTCTCCTGCCTCAGCCTCCCAAGTAGCTGGGATTACAGGTGCCTGCCACCATGCCTGGCTAATTTTTGTATTTTTAGTAGAGACGGGGTTTCACCATGTTGGGCAGGCTGGTTTCAAACTCCTGACCTCAGGTGATCCGCCTGACTGAGCCTCCCAAAGTGTTGTGATTACAGGCGTTAGCCACTGCTCCTGGCCCTAAAAGTAACAGTTCTAAGCTTTGTACTTACGACACCAAAAACATACAGACTGACATCTAAGTAATTAAGTCAATCATTAAGATATTTAGTTATGTCATGCAAAATAATAATCTCCAAGGAGTTCTCAAAGAATTCAGTAGTTTGATGTTATTGCCAGCACAGCCTTTCCTGAGTCCTCTTATAAATCTTAAAGAAAAATTTAAGATTTTTAATTTTTAAAGATTTAAAAATTTTTAATTAAATTTTTTTTTTAGGGCTGGACTCTTGGTCTGTCGTCCAGGATAGAGGGCAGGGATGCCATCACTACTCACTATAACCTCAAACTCCTGGGCTCAAGCAATCCTCCCACCTCAGCCTCCGGAGTAGCTGGGACTACAGGCATGCCCCACCACATTCGGCTAATTTTTAAAATTTTTTTGTAGAGACAGGGTCTCACTATATTGTCCAGGCTGCTCTCAAAATCCTGGCCTAAAGTGATCCTCCTGCCTCAGCCTCCTGAGTAGCTGGGTTAGATCCTGGCAAATGAAAGGGCCCCAGCTTTGAACTACCTTTGGGGAAGATCTCACTGCACACGGGTTCTCACACAGCACACCCCGTCACACACATGAACTCACACTGAGAACATATGAACACTACACACACGTTCTCACACAGCACACCCTGTCACACATATGAACTCACACTGAGAACACGGGCATCACACATAGGGACTCACGCACAGAGGACATGTGAACACTACACACATGTTCTCACACAGCACACGCCCCGTCACACCCATGAACTCACACCGAGAACACAACATCACACACAGGGACTCACGCACAGAGGACATGTGAACACTACACACACGTTCTCACACAGCACACCCCGTCACACCCATGAACTCACACCGAGAACACAACATCACACACAGGGACTCACACACAGAGGACATGTGGACACTACACACACGTTCTCACACAGCACACCCCGTCACACCCATGAACTCACACCGAGAACACAACATCACACACAGGGACTCACGCGCAGAGGACATGTGGACACTACACACACGTTCTCACACAGCACACCCCGTCACACCCATGAACTCACACCGAGAACACAACATCACACACAGGGACTCACGCGCAGAGGACATGTGGACACTACACACACGTTCTCACACAGCACACCCCGTCACACCCATGAACTCACACCGAGAACACAACATCACACACAGGGACTCACGCACAGAGGACATGTGGACACTACACACACGTTCTCACACAGCACACCCCGTCACACACATGAACTCACACCGAGAACACAACATCACACACAGGGACTCACGCACAGAGGACATGTGGACACTACACACACGTTCTCACACAGCACACCCCATCACACCCATGAACTCACACCGAGAACACAACATCACACACAGGGACTCACGCACAGAGGACATGTGGACACTACACACACGTTCTCACACAGCACACGCCCCGTCACACTCATGAACTCACACCGAGAACACAACATCACACACGGGGACTCACGCGCAGAGGACATGTGAACACTACACACATGTTCTCACACAGCACACCCCGTCACACCCATGAACTCACACCGAGAACACAACATCACACATGGGGACTCACGCGCAGAGGACATGTGAACACTACACACACGTTCTCACACAGCACACCCCGTCACACACATGAACTCACACCGAGAACACAACATCACACACAGGGACTCACGCACAGAGGACATGTGGACACTACACACACGTTCTCACACAGCACACGCCGCATCACACCCATGAACTCACACCGAGAACACAACATCACACACAGGGACTCACGCGCAGAGGACATGTGGACACTACACACACGTTCTCACACAGCACACGCCGCATCACACCCATGAACTCACACCGAGAACACAACATCACACACAGGGACTCACGCACAGAGGACATGTGAACACTACACACATGTTCTCACACAGCACACGCCCCGTCACACCCATGAACTCACACCGAGAACACAACATCACACACGGGGACTCACGCGCAGAGGACATGTGAACACTACACACACGTTCTCACACAGCACACCCCGTCACACCCATGAACTCACACCGAGAACACAACATCACACACAGGGACTCACGCACAGAGGACATGTGGACACTACACACACGTTCTCACACAGCACACCCCGTCACACCCATGAACTCACACCGAGAACAAAACATCACACACAGGGACTCACGCACAGAGGACATGTGGACACTACACACACGTTCTCACACAGCACACGCCGCATCACACCCATGAACTCACACCGAGAACACAACATCACACACGGGGACTCACGCGCAGAGGACATGTGAACACTACACACATGTTCTCACACAGCACACACCCCGTCACACCCATGAACTCACACCGAGAACACAACATCACACACAGGGACTCACGCACAGAGGACATGTGGACACTACACACACGTTCTCACACAGCACACCCCGTCACACCCATGAACTCACACCGAGAACACAACATCACACACGGGGACTCACGCGCAGAGGACATGTGAACACTACACACATGTTCTCACACAGCACACGCCCCGTCACACCCATGAACTCACACCGAGAACACAACATCACACACGGGGACTCACGCGCAGAGGACATGTGAACACTACACACACGTTCTCACACAGCACACCCCGTCACACCCATGAACTCACACCGAGAACACAACATCACACACAGGGACTCACGCACAGAGGACATGTGGACACTACACACACGTTCTCACACAGCACACCCCGTCACACCCATGAACTCACACCGAGAACAAAACATCACACACAGGGACTCACGCACAGAGGACATGTGGACACTACACACACGTTCTCACACAGCACACGCCGTCACACCCATGAACTCACACCGAGAACACATCACACACAGGGACTCACGCGCAGAGGACATGTGGACACTACACACACGTTCTCACACAGCACACGCCGCATCACACCCATGAACTCACACCGAGAACACATCACACACAGGGACTCACGCGCAGAGGACATGTGGACACTACACACACGTTCTCACACAGCACACCGCGTCACACCCATGAACTCACACCGAGAACAAAACATCACACACAGGGACTCACGCACAGAGGACATGTGAACACTACACACACGTTCTCACACAGCACACCCCGTCACACCCATGAACTCACACCGAGAACACAACATCACACACAGGGACTCACGCACAGAGGACATGTGGACACTACACACACGTTCTCACACAGCACACCCCGTCACACCCATGAACTCACACCGAGAACAAAACATCACACACAGGGACTCACGCACAGAGGACATGTGGACACTACACACACGTTCTCACACAGCACACGCCGTCACACCCATGAACTCACACCGAGAACACATCACACACAGGGACTCACGCGCAGAGGACATGTGGACACTAAACACACGTTCTCACACAGCACACGCCGCATCACACCCATGAACTCACACCGAGAACACATCACACACAGGGACTCACGCGCAGAGGACATGTGGACACTACACACACGTTCTCACACAGCACACCCCGTCACACCCATGAACTCACACCGAGAACAAAACATCACACACAGGGACTCACGCACAGAGGACATGTGAACACTACACACACGTTCTCACACAGCACACCCCGTCACACCCATGAACTCACACCGAGAACACAACATCACACACAGGGACTCACGCACAGAGGACATGTGGACACTACACACACGTTCTCACACAGCACACCCCGTCACACCCATGAACTCACACCGAGAACAAAACATCACACACAGGGACTCACGCACAGAGGACATGTGGACACTACACACACGTTCTCACACAGCACACGCCGCATCACACCCATGAACTCACACCGAGAACACATCACACACAGGGACTCACGCGCAGAGGACATGTGGACACTACACACACGTTCTCACACAGCACACCCCGTCACACCCATGAACTCACACCGAGAACAAAACATCACACACAGGGACTCACGCACAGAGGACATGTGGACACTACACACACGTTCTCACACAGCACACCCCGTCACACCCATGAACTCACACCGAGAACACAACATCACACACGGGGACTCACGCGCAGAGGACATGTGAACACTACACACATGTTCTCACACAGCACACACCCCGTCACACCCATGAACTCACACCGAGAACACAACATCACACACAGGGACTCACGCACAGAGGACATGTGGACACTACACACACGTTCTCACACAGCACACCCCGTCACACCCATGAACTCACACCGAGAACACAACATCACACACAGGGACTCACGCGCAGAGGACATGTGAACACTACACACATGTTCTCACACAGCACACACCCCGTCACACCCATGAACTCACACCGAGAACACAACATCACACACAGGGACTCACGCACAGAGGACATGTGAACACTACACACACGTTCTCACACAGCACACCCCGTCACACCCATGAACTCACACCGAGAACACAACATCACACACAGGGACTCACGCACAGAGGACATGTGGACACTACACACACGTTCTCACACAGCACACCCCGTCACACCCATGAACTCACACCGAGAACACAACATCACACACGGGGACTCACGCGCAGAGGACATGTGAACACTACACACATGTTCTCACACAGCACACACCCCGTCACACCCATGAACTCACACCGAGAACACAACATCACACACAGGGACTCACGCACAGAGGACATGTGAACACTACACACACGTTCTCACACAGCACACCCCATCACACCCATGAACTCACACCGAGAACACATCACACACAGGGACTCACGCACAGAGGACATGTGGACACTACACACACGTTCTCACACAGCACACCCCGTCACACCCATGAACTCACACCGAGAACAAAACATCACACACAGGGACTCACGCACAGAGGACATGTGGACACTACACACACGTTCTCACACAGCACACCCCGTCACACCCATGAACTCACACCGAGAACACAACATCACACACGGGGACTCACGCGCAGAGGACATGTGAACACTACACACATGTTCTCACACAGCACACACCCCGTCACACCCATGAACTCACACCGAGAACACAACATCACACACAGGGACTCACGCACAGAGGACATGTGAACACTACACACACGTTCTCACACAGCACACGCCGTCACACCCATGAACTCACACCGAGAACACATCACACACAGGGACTCACGCGCAGAGGACATGTGGACACTAAACACACGTTCTCACACAGCACACGCCGCATCACACCCATGAACTCACACCGAGAACACATCACACACAGGGACTCACGCGCAGAGGACATGTGGACACTACACACACGTTCTCACACAGCACACCCCGTCACACCCATGAACTCACACCGAGAACAAAACATCACACACAGGGACTCACGCACAGAGGACATGTGAACACTACACACACGTTCTCACACAGCACACCCCGTCACACCCATGAACTCACACCGAGAACACAACATCACACACAGGGACTCACGCACAGAGGACATGTGGACACTACACACACGTTCTCACACAGCACACCCCGTCACACCCATGAACTCACACCGAGAACAAAACATCACACACAGGGACTCACGCACAGAGGACATGTGGACACTACACACACGTTCTCACACAGCACACGCCGCATCACACCCATGAACTCACACCGAGAACACATCACACACAGGGACTCACGCGCAGAGGACATGTGGACACTACACACACGTTCTCACACAGCACACCCCGTCACACCCATGAACTCACACCGAGAACAAAACATCACACACAGGGACTCACGCACAGAGGACATGTGGACACTACACACACGTTCTCACACAGCACACCCCGTCACACCCATGAACTCACACCGAGAACACAACATCACACACGGGGACTCACGCGCAGAGGACATGTGAACACTACACACATGTTCTCACACAGCACACACCCCGTCACACCCATGAACTCACACCGAGAACACAACATCACACACAGGGACTCACGCACAGAGGACATGTGGACACTACACACACGTTCTCACACAGCACACCCCGTCACACCCATGAACTCACACCGAGAACACAACATCACACACAGGGACTCACGCGCAGAGGACATGTGAACACTACACACACACAGGGACTCACGCACAGAGGACATGTGGACACTACACACACGTTCTCACACAGCACACCCCGTCACACCCATGAACTCACACCGAGAACACAACATCACACACAGGGACTCACGCGCAGAGGACATGTGAACACTACACACATGTTCTCACACAGCACACACCCCGTCACACCCATGAACTCACACCGAGAACACAACATCACACACAGGGACTCACGCACAGAGGACATGTGAACACTACACACACGTTCTCACACAGCACACCCCGTCACACCCATGAACTCACACCGAGAACACAACATCACACACAGGGACTCACGCACAGAGGACATGTGGACACTACACACACGTTCTCACACAGCACACCCCGTCACACCCATGAACTCACACCGAGAACACAACATCACACACGGGGACTCACGCGCAGAGGACATGTGAACACTACACACATGTTCTCACACAGCACACACCCCGTCACACCCATGAACTCACACCGAGAACACAACATCACACACAGGGACTCACGCACAGAGGACATGTGAACACTACACACACGTTCTCACACAGCACACCCCATCACACCCATGAACTCACACCGAGAACACATCACACACAGGGACTCACGCACAGAGGACATGTGGACACTACACACACGTTCTCACACAGCACACCCCGTCACACCCATGAACTCACACCGAGAACAAAACATCACACACAGGGACTCACGCACAGAGGACATGTGGACACTACACACACGTTCTCACACAGCACACCCCGTCACACCCATGAACTCACACCGAGAACACAACATCACACACGGGGACTCACGCGCAGAGGACATGTGAACACTACACACATGTTCTCACACAGCACACACCCCGTCACACCCATGAACTCACACCGAGAACACAACATCACACACAGGGACTCACGCACAGAGGACATGTGAACACTACACACACGTTCTCACACAGCACACACCCCGTCACACCCACACCCCCACATGCGTAGACACACACATCCTTACTCTGCGTGCATCCCTGGCCTGGTGGACGGAAGATCGAGCGCTCTGGGTGGACTTACGGCCACAGGACGGGGGCAGAGTCGGCAGGGAGGCCCCTCCGAGGCCCAGTGGGCCCCGCGCTGGCCCCGGCCGCAGACGCCCACCTGCTGCTGTGCTGGCTGCGGCGTGTGCCCCGGGCTCTGCGGCTGACCTGGCCTCCACGTCTCACCCATGAAGCAGGCATGAAAGGCTGGCCAGGTTGGCTAAATGGGACCACAGCAGAAGCATGAGCCCCAGAATGTGCACGAAGGAAGAGAGAGCCGGGGGAGGTGGCGGGCTGGGTGTGCAGAGTGGGCCTGAGCTCCGGCCTCCTCCCTGGACGCCCTCCCGTGGCCGCAGCCATCCCTGCACCCACTGGTGTGGCCTGACCCCTCACCCTGAGCCCACCCTTCGCGGCCACTAGGGAACCTCAGGAGAGGCCGCCGCGGTGGGGTGGGCGGATTCCCCCGGAGCAGGCCCAGGCCCCTGCTCCTGAGCTCTCCTGCAGCGCCGTCTGCTGGCCACAGAGAACCCGCGTGTGCCGGCCGCCAGGCCTGGGCATCTCCTCTCCTGCAGCGCCGCCTGCTGGCCACAGAGAACCCGCGTGCGCCGGCCGCCTGGCCTGGGCATCTCCTCTCCTGCAGCGCCGCCTGCTGGCCACAGAGAGCCCACGTGCGCCGGCCGCCAGGCCTGGGCATCTCCTCTCCTGCAGCGCCGCCTGCTGGCCACAGAGAACCCGCGTGCGCCGGCCGCCAGGCCTGGGCATCTCCTCTCCTGCAGCGCCGCCTGCTGGCCACAGAGAACCCGCGTGCGCCGGCCGCCAGGCCTGGGCATCTCCTCTCCTGCAGCGCCGCCTGCTGGCCACAGAGAACCCGCGTGCGCCGGCCGCCTGGCCTGGGCATCTCCTCTCCTGCAGCGCCGCCTGCTGGCCACAGAGAACCCGCGTGTGCCGGCCGCCAGGCCTGGGCATCTCCTCTCCTGCAGCGCCGCCTGCTGGCCACAGAGAACCCACGTGTGCCGGCCGCCAGGCCTGGGCATCTCCTCTCCTGCAGCGCCGCCTGCTGGCCACAGAGAACCCACGTGCGCCGGCCGCCTGGCCTGGGCATCTCCTCTCCTGCAGCGCCGCCTGCTGGCCACAGAGAACCCGCGTGCGCCGGCCGCCAGGCCTGGGCATCTCCCCGGGCCCTAGTTCCCCCCCTCACCTAAGGGGAGGGACTCCCGTCTTTCCATCCACCCCCTCCTTGCCTCTGCAGAGCTCCAGGGAAGGCTGGCACCCGCTCACTGCATTTAGACTCCATCAGGTTCAGACAGTGGGTCAGGGTACAAGGCTTCAGCGGCCAGGGATGTGGCCTCTAATTTGTAGAGAGAAAGAAGGGCAGAGGCAAAGGTTTGGGCCCAGGGACTGGGCTCCGTTTCCAGAATCACTCTTGGAGCTGGTGAGCAGAGGGCTGGACACTGCCCTCCATGACCAGCACTGCCCTCCACCCTAGCTCACTCCCCTAGCTGGCCCAGGGGTTCAGGCTTTCCTTTCATAAAGTGGGGTCCAGGAAAGGCAAAACCTCCTCCCCTGGGCCACACGAACCGTGGTGCACAGGCTCCCACTAGGTGGGCCAGTCAGCTCATCCCATGGACACACCAGGGGCATCGAGAAAGGAATAGCGACCTGAACCCCATACCCGAAGGGTGGCCCTCAGGACCCCCAAGGCAGGGAACAGGCTGCAGAGGGTTTGGGGGAGCATCTTGGTGCATAGAAAACAAACACTCTGGGAAGCTGCTGTGAGTGTGTGTGGCTCTCAGGCCTGTTCTGTCCTGGGTGCGCTGCGTTCCCCAGGCGGCACCATCTCTCTGCCTCTGTACCCTTGAATTCCCTCTGCCTGCACCCGGTCCCCACCCACCTCCTGCCCAGCCCCACAAGCCCTTCCAGACCACTGCTGGGGCATTCCTGGGCCCCCTCGGTTCTTGGTGACTACCATGCAGTTCTCTATGGAAACTGACTCTCACTGAAAACAAGTGTAACCGTCTACCTAAGAGACTCACACAGAGTTCTCAGCCAGGTCTCCAGGACAATCAGACGCAACTTGTCATTCTCACTCATCCCATCACCCGACTAGCTTCTCAGCCCAGCCCCGGGGGAGGTTTTCCCCTTACTTGAAATGCCTCTTGGATTTGAAAAATCCCAGCGTTCACCCCTGGTGCCGACACTTGCCTCTGTAACCTTCTGCCTGCTGCTTTGCTCTCATCCAGACCGGTTGGCACTTGGACCCCTCTGGCCAGCTGGTTCCCCAGAGACAACCATCTTGCCCACCTTGTGGAAGGCCCCATGGCCTGCGTCACCCCTCACTCCCATTTCACAGCTCTCGTGGTGCTCTACAAGAAAAATCTGCTTTATAGATGAGGAAAGGCCCTTGGGGCAGACAAGACAGTCCCTGTTTGACATAATTCCTTTATCTCTTCTCCCCCAGCTCTGCTGCCCCCTGCCCCATACACGTGATGGAGCAGAAAACGTGCTGTGTGAACCTGTGACTTCAGGGCCTGTTGACGTGGTCGTGCTTGCATACTCTCTGGTGAGGGGTGGGGAGAGGGGGTGGGAGACGGGTAGAAATAGATGAAGTAGATGATGGGTGGATTGCTGGCTAGATAGATGATAGATAGGGATAGGTGGTATATGGGTGATAGGTAACAGGTGATGGATAGATGATAGAAATAGATGATGGATAGATACTTGATAGGCAAATTAGATAATAGATAGCAATAGATGAACTAGATGATAGATGGAAAGGTAGGTAGGTAGATATATGATAGATGGTTGATAGATAAAAATAGATGAAATAGATGGCATGGTTAGATAGGTGGGTAGGTAGATAGATGACAGATAGAAAGACAATAGACCACTGGGGGCTGAGCCTGGCCTGAGCCAGAAAAGTGAGAAGGGGACAGCGGTGAGGACCCCACAGGTCCCTGCTCTCACCCCTATTAGCCCCAGTGTTTGGCCTCAGCTCTGACTGACAGCTCCCTCTTTCCGAGATGAGACTCAAGAGGAGGAAGAGGGGACTTCCTAAGGACAGGGATTCTTGGTGTCTCCTTGGGGGTGGTAGACACTGCCTGCCTCGCCTGCTGTGGCCTCTCTGCACACAACCAACGACCCCTAAAGGGCTCCATGGGCGCCCATGCTGCCCCCATCAGCTGACACCCCCTGTGCGAAGATTCTCCTCCTCCTCTTCCTCCTGCCTTTCTGTCCCCTCATCCTCCTCTTTATGGAATTAACTTCCCTTGGTCAACATCTTCCTGCTTCACTCACTTCCCTAAACTCCTCCCTATCCCTTCTCAATCTGCAAGAAAAATGTAGAAGGAATATGGTAAAGGAAAGCTTTGAGCCCATATTTGGGTCCAATGCCGACACCACATGCCCCAAAGCCCCCTTGAGAGCATCCACGTCCGTGTAGTTGAGTATTGCCCGAGCTGGAGTGAGATTTGCCTCTCTACGGAGCTGCCTTCCTGCAGTTCAAGAGCACTGTCTCTTTTCTGGGCCTCCTGCCTGGTGCAAGGGCCCCAGCTGAGCCTCCTCCAGCTCTGACCTCTGGTGGTTCCGGGCTGCCCCAGAGGGTCTTGCCCAGGCTCTGACACTTGGCATGGTCTGGGAGCTCCAGCAGCCACAGCCCAGCCCTGGGGAGGCTTTGTGGTCTCTGAGGGGGAAGGTGCACTCCCCCAACTCCAGTTCATGTTTTTCCCTCCAACTCTAAGCCTTTTTCTTCCTCTGCTATTACCCAGGCACCCTACCCTGTCAACAACACTGGCCTTCAAGACCCTTTGTAGCATAACTCCCACCTATAACTCCCACCTGAAGCCAGCCCTTCCCACCTCTGCGCCTCTGATGCCCAGGACAGCTCTGACCATGGGCAGCTCTGACCCAGGACAGCTCTGACCTTGGGCAGCCCTGATCTGGGGCAGCTCTGACCTCGAGTAGCTGTGACCCTGGGCAGCTCTGACTCTGGGTAGTCGTGACCCTGGGGAACTCTCAGCACGGGGGTTGCATGCTCCTGTTTAGACAGCTGCTGTCCCCCAAGCTGGCTCACTATCCCATGTTGGAGTGCACTGTTCGGGGCTGCCTGCCTGGATTGATGCAGGGAAACTTGGTTCCAGCCCACCTCCTCCTGCGGAGGCTGAGTCAGGGGCTCTTCCCTCGGCCAGGCTGAAAGGCAGCAGTTGGTCCCCCTGTGAGGTCTTCCACATGGCCTGGGAGAGTCTCCCCATCTCTTCAGGCAGAAGGGAGGACAGTCCATAATGTTCCTTCCAGTCGTCTGATTTGTCATTTTTCTACCCCAAATCTTGCACTTTAACCCCATAGAGAGCTCCTGAAGGGGGAATTTTAACTGGCAAAACTCAGAACTCCATCCAAACACAACCGAAACCATCCTGGGTGGCTTAGAGGTGGCTGCCTCCCAGACAAGTCCATAGCCCCACAGAAACGTCTGGTCCTTCACCTGCCAGAGCTCAGGCTTTTTGGTTGAAGCCGGAGACAGGCCCAGCTCAGAGTGTGCCCCGGTTTATCCTGAACACCGACTTGGTGCGGTGTGTGTGACAGACCAGCGAAGCGGGTCTTGCTGCCTGTCCTGTGGTTGGCCCTTGGCTCCCAGCCTCGAGTCCTACCCTTAGGCCAGGTCAGAGCAGGTTCAGCAGCAGGACTGGCTAGGCACCACCCAGGCTCATGAGGTGGCTTTGTGGGGAGGAAATGAGGTTTTTTTTTTTCTCTTGTAAAGTTGCTTGTTGTTAATTTAAAATTTTAATTTCATTTCTGAATTAACATTCAGCAAAACTGCTATTTTTTGGTGTACAGTTCTATGAGTTTAACACATTTATAGATTCATGTAGCAACACTGTGGATACAGAACAGTTACATCACCCCCAGAACTCCGTTCACAGTCACACTCCCCGACCCAGCCCCGGCAGCTCTCCCTGTGGTTTGTCTTTTGCAGAGGAAATCCCGCAGCTGGCGGCACTTGGAGACCGGCTCCTCGCCGAGCCGACCGCGCGTGCGCGGCTCCCTCCTCGTCCGTGCTGAGCGCCGCGTGGGGTTCCGCGTGGAGGCGCCTGTGCCGCTGAAGCGTGTTTGGGTTGCTTCCAGGGTGGGATGGTTGTTGGATAGAGCTGTTTGTGCATTTGCGTTGTAGGTTTTTGTGTGAACATAAGCTTTTGTTTCTCTCGGGTACATACCCAGAAGTGCAATTGCTGAGTCATGTGGGAAGCGTGTGCCCAACTTTACAGGAAAACGCCACAGGCCGCCCCTTCGCTTTGCGCTCCCGCTAATCGGGAATGAGTGCCTGCTGCTCCGCGTTCTTGCGGGCACCCAGCATTTTCCGTGCTTACATTTCAGCCATCCCGGAATGAATGAAAAGCGTTTCCTAGTGGCTGTAATTTGCATCTCCCTGGTGGCTGATGGAAGCTTATTTCCCATCCATATCCCTTGCTTGGTGACGCATCTGTTCAAGTCCTTCCCCGGTTTGTAACTGGATTATTTGGTGTTTTTACTGTTGGATTTTGAGAGTTCTTTATGTATTCTAGATACAATTCCTTTGCCAGATATGAGATTCACAAATATTTTCTCCAACTCTATGTCTTGTGTTTTCATTCTCTCAACAGTGACTTTTGCAGCATTCATAGGGATTTTATGTTTTCTTCTCAAAGTTTTATAAACCACTATATTTAAAATTTTAATTTAAAAACTATAAACCTATTATAGTTTTTAAATTAAACTGTAAACCTCTTATATAGATTTTCTGTTTAAACTTATGATTCCTTTTAAGTTAATTATTATGTAAGTTGTGAGGGTTGGGTCAAGGCATTCCTTTGCTTAAAATCCCCAGCTTTTCATTTCTCTCAGACAGAAGTCTTGACCTGCAGGGTCAGGCTCCCCTGCTCTCTGAGCTCGCCCTCCCCACGCAGCGCTAGCCCCTGGACTATTCTCACCACTCAGGCCTTGGCCTCCATACCCGCTTGGCACCCACCAAAGGGTCCGGGGACCCCTCCACAGGGCAGCGTTCTGTCTGTGAGGTGAAGCGGGAGCAGAGGGCCAGGCAGAGCCAGGCTGGGACCCAATCTCTGCTTCAGGCTGGTCTTTTTTTTTTTTTTTTTTTTTTGAGACGGAGTCTCGCTGTCGCCCAGGCTGGAGTGCAGTGGCGCGATCTCGGCTCACTGCAAGCACCGCCTCCCGGGTTCACGCCATTCTCCTGCCTCAGCCTCGCGCGTAGCTGGGACTACAGGTGCCTGCCACCATGCCTGGCTAATTTTTTGTATTTTTAGTAGAGACGGGGTTTCACCGTGTTAGCCAGGATGGTCTTGATGTCCTGACCTTGTGATCTGCCCGCCTCGGCCTCCCAAAGTGCTGGGATTACAGGCGTGAGCCACCGCACCTGGCCAGGCTGGTCTTTTTTGCCAGAGTTAGTGTTGTATTGAGGGACATGGAGGGAGAAAAGGGGGTCAGTTAGGGGCAAGTTTACTTGTGCAGGTAACCAGGGTGAGGGCTCGAGGGGAGAAGAGAGATAAGGAGGGCAGAGCTCAGCCAAGTTGGCCTGATGACATGACCAGAATGTGATCACTAGATCCCCTGCCTGGAGGCCCAAGTGTGGCCCCAGGTCTGGATAGTTGCAGCCACTGTGGGGAAGCTTCAGTTTGGGAGCCACAGAAACCAAGAATATTGTCTGGGAAGCTGATGTGCAGAGAGGAGAATGGAGCGGATGGAGGTGCGGTGGGTGAGAGAGACAAAGAGACAGAGAGGAGAGTAAAAGCCTGTTGCTGGCTCCACTATGTTGGGCTTGTCAGCCCAGCTTCTTCTTGTCCCATCCATAAAATGGGCTGGTGTCGCCCATCCTGGTTAGGAGGCACAAGGAAGTATTGCGCTGTGTGCTCGGCCCAGCTGACTCAGCAGCTCTCCAACCTTGGGGACTCTCCAGACAGGTGTGTGCAGGTGAGGTGCTGGACCAAGGAAGGGCAGGTGGAGGACATGGCCGAGGGGAGCTCTGTGAGCTGAGCTGCCTGCTTCGAGGGTGCCCTTGAGGCCCAGGACTGACCCATGGAGGGAGAGGCTTCCTTCCTTCTGTTGGGGCTCAGAAAACAACGCCCCAAAATGAAGTCCTCAGCAGCAGCCTCAGAAGCAAAAGTTGTCTCTGACCTTCTCCTGCCCTCCTGTCTCTCAGTCTCATTCTCCCCGAAGGCGCTGTAGAAACCAGACTCTCTTTTTCCCCAAGGCCGGTCACAGAAATCAGAACCCCTTCTCCCCAAAGCTGGTCAGAAAACCTAAAAATATTACTCAGTGTTCCGTCTACCTTTCTATATAAGAGCTGACTAGAGAGAAATGATCCAACATCCCTTGTTTGACTGTAGGTCATGAGACTGTCATTCCAGAGAGGGCCCTGCCCCACGTCCAGAGAAGAAAATGCTCAGAGACGAAGACAAATCTAGACAGACCTTGCTGGGTTCCCACTCAGTCTATTCACATTAGATCAAGCCCTTTGTGTCCAATCCTTTTTTTAGAGGACTGTTCATACGTTATTAAACCTAAACATAAAAATGGACAATTTCCCCCATCGTTGGGTCTTCGTTCTAAAGGTTCTTATATGTACACATCACATAAATTTGCATACCGTTTCTCCTATTAATCCATCTGTCTCATGTCAGTGACTTCTCAGCAAACCTTTAGGGGCCAAGGGGCCCCACGCTCTCCAGCGGCAGGCACAATGGGCCTGGGGTGCAGTTGTGGACACTCGGACCCTCCTTGGATCTGGTTTAGCTGTGCTGTGTGCTTGTGGGAATGGATTGCCATGATTTCTGGGCTCTAATAAATTGTGCTTCAATCGACTCTTGAGGAGTTAATGAGAGGCCTCACTTCAGACCATAAACACCCTCCCTGTGTGGGATAGAAACACACATCGTCACAGCCAGGAGGTCAGTCGGGTGAGGGTCTGCTTTGCTTACAAGGTCCAGAAACCCAGCAGAAAACCCTCGAGGCCACATCAGTGAAGAGTAACTTATTTCAGCAACATTTCCATGTGTGACACAAGACACACATTTCCTGCATCCACCTTTAAAGTCAAGAAGTTGAAGCTGAATAAAGCCAGCAGGCAGCGAAAATCACCTGCACTCAGTTCAGTTGTGGCAGGAAAGGGAAAGAGCCATGAAGAAAGGAGAGGGGGATGGAGAGGGAGAAAGGAGAGGGGGATGGAGAGGAGAAAGGAGAGGGGGGTGGAGAGGGAGAAAGGAGAGGGGGATAGAGAGGAGAAAGGAGAGGGGGCTAGAGAGGAGAAAGGAGAGGGAGATGGAGAGGGGGATGGAGAGGGGGATGGAGAGGAGAAAGGAGACGGGGATGGAGGGGGGATGGAGAGAAGAAAGGAGAGGAGGGTGGAGAGCGACAGCTGCAGAGGGAGGCAGGGAGGCTGGCTGGGCGTGGACAGCTGCAGAGGGAGGCAGGGGAGGCCGGCTGGGCATGGACGCTGCAGAGGGGACACAGCCACTCTGGCAACAGCAGCCAGTGGCGGATCTGCCTGGAATGCTTTCCCTTCTGTCCAGGATGGGCCTGTCTCTGCAGACAGGGGCCCTCCCCTTCCTGGCCTGGCTGTGCACAGCCTATGTGCATGGTGGAAGCTCTGCAGAGGCCGTTCTGCTCCAGAGTGGGGCATAGCCTCGGGCGAGGTTCACAGCTTGGGGGGCTGGTCCTGCCCTGTCCCACATGTGGCTGTGTGGGCAGCATGGATCTTCTTCCGCGGTGACCCTGTGTGCCCACCCCCCCCAACTTATGCCTGCTTCCCAAGGCCATGGGCCTCACCCTCAGACTTCACTTTTGTGTATATGGAAAGACACAATTATCGGGACAGAAACAGATCAGTATTTGCCAGTGGGTGAGTGAGGGGAGAGGAGTTTACTACTGAGGGGCCGAACTGGGGCCATTTTTGAGGGATGAAAGTCTTCTGTGTGGCTCTACAGAGCTGGGTACGTGATGCTGTGTTTGTCAAACCCCACAGGACTGGACCTCACTGTGGGAACAACAAGATCAACAAGAGGAGCAAGAACAACATCAAGAGTCAGAGCCCGGGGGTCCTGACGGGTACAGGATGGGTACAGACCCACACAGGAATCCCAGAGTGTGTTCCACAGCAGGACACGCCTGCGCTGAAAGAGTGGGCAGAAAGGAGCTGACCTGGGTAAGTCCAAAAACAGTGTTTTGATTAGATTCTGGAAAGAATCAAATAACTCTGCATATCTAAGCACTAAACTCCAATTGGTAAAATTGTTTCCCACAGCAATACATGTTAGCAACTTTGAAACTACTTTTATATATACTAAGGTTTCACAAATAAGTCAATACAGTAGTAAGAGTCAGGGTTCTCACAGCTGGATAAGGAAGTCATGGAAAAGCCAGCGGGGACCCTGAGGTCCATATATAATATATATTATACATATATACAGATCAGAATGGACCCTAAGGTGGTCGGTTATAGACAGATATGCCAGCAGGAACTCATGTTTACATGATACATATATACAGATCAGAATGGACCCTGAGGACCATATATAATATATATTATACATATATACAGATCAGAATGGACCCTGAGGTGGTCGGTTATAGACAGATATGCCAGCAGGAACTCATGTTTACATGATACATATATACAGATCAGAATGGACCCTGAGGTCCATATATAATATATATTATACATATATGCAGATCAGAATGGACCCTGAGGTCCATATATAATATATATTATACATATATACAGATCAGAATGGACCCTGAGGTGGTCAGTTATAGTCAGATATGCCAGCAGGAACTCGTGTTTACATGATACATATATACAGATCAGAATGGACCCTGAGGTGGTCGGTTACAGTCAGATATGCCAGCAGGAACTCGTGTTTACATGATACTTATATACAGATCGGAATGGACCCTGAGGTGGTCAGTTATAGTCAGATATGCCAGTAGGAACTCGTGTTTACATGATACATACATACAGATCAGAATGGACCCTGAGGTGGTCAGTTATAGTCAGATATGCCAGTAGGAACTCATGTTTACATGATACATATATACAGATCAGAATGGACCCTGAGGTGGTCGGTTATAGTCAGATATGCCAGCAGGAACTCGTGTTTACATGATACATATATACAGATCAGAATGGACCCTGAGGTGGTCGGTTACAGTCAGATATGCCAGCAGGAACTCGTGTTTACATGATACTTATATACAGATCGGAATGAACCCTGAGGTGGTCAGTTATAGTCAGATATGCCAGTAGGAAATCATGTTTACATGATACATATATACAGATCAGAATGGACCCTGAGGTGGTCGGTTACAGTCAGATATGCCAGTAGGAAGTTGTGTTTACATGATACATATATACAGATCAGAATGGACCCTGAGGTGGTCAGTTATAGTCAGATATGCCAGCAGGAACTCATGTTTACATAATACATATATACAGATAGGTTAAATATATACACACACACGTGCGTGTGCATACATGGCTTAGCACACACATCTGTAGATCCTGGGTTTGTCCTTTGAGAGGGGACACCCCAGTAGCAGCAAGCACATTCCATGCCCAGATGTTAGTTTCTAAATTTCATCTTCAATAAAAGGAGCCAAGTCTCCCTGGAGAAATGGCTGATAATTGGGATGTGGGAGAGAAAATACAAGATGAACCTGGAGCATCTTGTAGTCCCAGGAAGTAAGAAAATGCTCAAAAATAAAATTTTTAAAAAGCTGTGGGCATTTCAAAAGGGCATGGAACCCAAAATGTAAGAGCTCCCAGTGGCCACAGCTACAATGATTTGAGTGCACACACACTCACACAGACATACACACACACACACACACAAATCGGATTATGCCCCAAAGAATAAAATGAATGTCCATGGATTCGTAAGCATATAAATAAATTATTGAATAAATTAAAACTGAAAGGGTAGCCGGGCGAGGTGGCGAGCGCCTGTAGTCCCAGCTACTGGGGAGGCTGAGGCAGGAGAATGGTGTGAGCCCGGGAGGTGGAGCTTGCAGTGAGCCAAGATCACGCCAATGCACTCCAGCTGGGGTGACAGAGCAAGACTCTGTCTCAAAAACAAAACAAAACAAAAGAAAACAAAAAACTGAAAGGGACAGGCCTTTCTTGGAACAAATTCCAAACAAGAAATGTGGAGTAAATAGGGAAAATCACCATCAGGCTGGGCACAGTGGCTCGTGCCTGTAATCTCAACACTTCGGGAGGCTGAGGCAGGTGGATCACCTGAGGTCAGGAGTTCGAGACCAGCCTAGCCAACATTGTGAAACCGTGTCTCTACAAAAAAATACAAAATTAGCTGGGCCTGGTGACACATGCCTGTAATCTCAGCTACTTGGGAGGCTGAGGCAGGAGAATCGCTTGAACCCGGGAGGTTGCAGTGAGCTGAGATTGTGCCACTGCACTCCAGCCTGGGCAATAAGAGCAAAACTCTGTCTCAAAAAAAAGAAAGAAAGAAAGAAAAGAAAAGAAAAAAAAGAAAATCACCATCAGTGCTGCAGGCAAGCTCCCCTGAGGAATGCTAAAATTCCTGTGCAAAGTTTAAGGAGAAAGAAGATATTTGTATACTGTCAAAGTGTCTCCCCTAAATGTTCAGTAATTACCGCGGTGCCCAAATTCTTTGATGCTCCTTCCTGTAGGAGTTGGAGCTCATGCTGGACTTCATGACTCACTCTTAACCAGCAGGACATGGAGAGGAAAACAGTCACTCTCCCGTGGGGAGACCTGGCAGGCCTCACCTTGGCCGTGTGATCAAGGTCCAGACCACCAGTGATGAGGCATGTTGACATCGTGGCCCCTGAGAGCACGTGATGAGAAGAGCGCTCCACCTCCGCCGTGTTCTTCCGCAAACGCACAGTTCCAATGTAATCAGAGAGAACATCACACACACACCAATTGAGGGGCGTCTTGCAGAATACCTGAGCAGCACTCTGCAAAGCTGTCAAGGCGGTGAAACGAAGACAGGCCAGGAAAGGGTCACAGGTGCAGGGGACTAAGGAGGCGTGAGGGCCAGTGCAGCCTGGGGTCCTGGACGTGAGCTGCCGAGACGGCACCCGTGTGAGTGTCGCAGTTTCCACACCGTGAGCTGCTGAGACGGCACCCGCGTGAGTGTCGCAGTTTCCACACCGTGAGCTGCTGAGACGGCACCCGCGTGAGTGTCGCAGTTTCCACACCGTGAGCTGCTGAGACGGCACCCGCGTGAGTGTCGCAGTTTCCACACCGTGAGCTGCTGAGACGGCACCCGCGTGAGTGCCGCAGTTTCCACACCGTGAGCTGCTGAGACGGCACCCGCGTGAGTGCCGCAGTTTCCACACCGTGAGCTGCTGAGACGGCACCCGCGTGAGTGCCGCAGTTTCCACACCGTGAGCTGCTGAGACGGCACCCGCGTGAGTGTCGCAGTTTCCACACCGTGAGCTGCTGAGACGGCACCCGCGTGAGTGTCGCAGTTTCCACACCGTGAGCTGCTGAGACGGCACCCGCGTGAGTGTCGCAGTTTCCACACCGTGAGCTGCTGAGACGGCACCCGCGTGAGTGTCGCAGTTTCCACACCGTGAGCTGCTGAGACGGCACCCGCGTGAGTGTCGCAGTTTCCACACCGTGAGCTGCTGAGACGGCACCCGCGTGAGTGTCGCAGTTTCCACACCGTGAGCTGCTGAGACGGCACCCGCGTGAGTGTCGCAGTTTCCACACCGTGAGCTGCTGAGACGGCACCCGCGTGAGTGTCGCAGTTTCCACACCGTGAGCTGCTGAGACGGCACCCGCGTGAGTGCCGCAGTTTCCACACCGTGAGCTGCTGAGACGGCACCCGCGTGAGTGTCGCAGTTTCCACACCGTGAGCTGCTGAGACGGCACCCGCGTGAGTGTCGCAGTTTCCACACCGTGAGCTGCTGAGACGGCACCCGCGTGAGTGTCGCAGTTTCCACACCGTGAGCTGCTGAGACGGCACCCGCGTGAGTGTCGCAGTTTCCACACCGTGAGCTGCTGAGACGGCACCCGCGTGAGTGTCGCAGTTTCCACACCGTGAGCTGCTGAGACGGCACCCGCGTGAGTGTCGCAGTTTCCACACCGTGAGCTGCTGAGACGGCACCCGCGTGAGTGTCGCAGTTTCCACACCGTGAGCTGCTGAGACGGCACCCGCGTGAGTGTCGCAGTTTCCACACCGTGAGCTGCTGAGACGGCACCCGCGTGAGTGTCGCAGTTTCCACACCGTGAGCTGCTGAGACGGCACCCGCGTGAGTGTCGCAGTTTCCACACCGTGAGCTGCTGAGACGGCACCCGCGTGAGTGTCGCAGTTTCCACACCGTGAGCTGCTGAGACGGCACCCGCGTGAGTGTCGCAGTTTCCACACCGTGAGCTGCTGAGACGGCACCCGCGTGAGTGTCGCAGTTTCCACACCGTGAGCTGCTGAGACGGCACCCGCGTGAGTGTCGCAGTTTCCACACCGTGAGCTGCTGAGACGGCACCCGCGTGAGTGTCGCAGTTTCCACACCGTGAGCTGCTGAGACGGCACCCGCGTGAGTGTCGCAGTTTCCACACCGTGAGCTGCTGAGACGGCACCCGCGTGAGTGTCGCAGTTTCCACACCGTGAGCTGCTGAGACGGCACCCGCGTGAGTGTCGCAGTTTCCACACCGTGAGCTGCTGAGACGGCACCCGCGTGAGTGTCGCAGTTTCCACACCGTGAGCTGCTGAGACGGCACCCGCGTGAGTGTCGCAGTTTCCACACCGTGAGCTGCTGAGACGGCACCCGCGTGAGTGTCGCAGTTTCCACACCGTGAGCTGCTGAGACGGCACCCGCGTGAGTGTCGCAGTTTCCACACCGTGAGCTGCTGAGACGGCACCCGCGTGAGTGTCGCAGTTTCCACACCGTGAGCTGCTGAGACGGCACCCGCGTGAGTGTCGCAGTTTCCACACCGTGAGCTGCTGAGACGGCACCCGCGTGAGTGTCGCAGTTTCCACACCATGAGCTGCTGAGACGGCACCCGCGTGAGTGTCGCAGTTTCCACACCGTGAGCTGCTGAGACGGCACCCGCGTGAGTGTCGCAGTTTCCACACCGTGAGCTGCTGAGACGGCACCCGCGTGAGTGTCGCAGTTTCCACACCGTGAGCTGCTGAGATGGCACCCGCGTGAGTGTCGCAGTTTCTACACCGTGAGCTGCTGAGATGGCACCCATGTGAGTGTCGCAGTTTCTACACCGTGAGCTGCTGAGATGGCACCCATGTGAGTGTCGCAGTTTCCACACCGTGAGCTGCTGAGATGGCACCCATGTGAGTGTCGCAGTTTCTACACCGTGAGCTGCTGAGATGGCACCCATGTGAGTGTCGCAGTTTCCACACGTGCCTCATTGCTGTGTAAGATGCTCAAGTGAGAGGAAGCTGGTGAACGGGTCTGTGGGAAGTTGCTGTACTGTCTTTGCAACTCTTCTGGACATCTTTTTTTTTTTTTTTAAATAAAACATTTTTAACGTGAAAATATGCAGAGCACGGTGGCTCGCACCTGTAATCCCAGCACTTTGGGAGGCCGAGGCAGGTGGATCATGAGGTCAGGAGTTCAAGACCAGCCTAGCCAACATGGTGAAACCCCGTCTCTACTAAGAATACAAAAATTAGCTGGGCGTGGTGATGGGCATCTGTAATCCCAGCTACTCGGGAGGCTGAGGCAGGAGAATCACTTGAACCCGGGAGGCAGAGGTTGCAGTGAGCCGAGATCGCGCCCCTGCACTCCAGCCTGGGTGACAGAGCAAGACTCCATCTCAAAAAAAATAAAGGAAATATGCGTCGTTGGATGCTGTATGACAATCAAGCTACTTATAACAAACAAAATTGAGAATGAAGGTAAATTAAAAATAATTTATAGTCTTTAAAAAGCAGGAACTACAAAATTTACATTTCTGAAAATGGCAGAAAAATCCCACATGGCTGTATATGTATGTGTGAGATTGTGTATGAATGAGCGCATGCATATATTTTTGTGTGTTTGGATTATATGTGTGACGGTGTGCATGAGTGTGTATATGATTTGGGGGTATGTGTGAGTGTGACTGTGTGTATGAGTGTGTATGATTTGTGTGTGAGTGTGTACATGTATACACTAGTGTGCGTATGATTTGGGGGTATGAATGTGAATGTGTACATATGTATTTATGATCTGAGTGTGTATGAGTGTGAATGTGAACATGTGTGTGTGAGTGGGTATATGATTTGGTTGTGTGCAAGTATGAATATGTATTGTGTGCATTAATGTGTATATTTTGGGCTGTGTATGAGTGAATGTGAACATGTGTGCACGAGTGTATATATGATCTGGGTGTGTATGAGTGAGCATGAGTGAACATGTGTGCATGAATGTGAGTATGATTTGGGTGTGTATGAGTGTGAATGTGTGCACGAGTGTATATATGATCTGGGTGTGTATGAGTGAGCATGAATGTGAACATGTGTGCATGAATATATGATATGGGTGTGTATGAGTGTGAATGTGTGCACGAGTGTACAATCGGTGTGTATGAGTGAGCATGAATGTGAACATGTGTGCACGAGTGTATATATGATCTGGGTGTGTAGGAGTGAGCATGAATGTGTATGCACAAGTGTGTGTATGTGTGTATGATCTGGGTGTGTAGGAGTGTGAATACGAACACGTATGCGCAAGTATGTATATGATCTGTGTATGTATGAGTGAGTGTGAATGTGTGCATAAGTGTGTGTATGATCTGGGTATGAGTGATTGTGAATGTGAGCATGTGTGCACGAGTGTGTATATGATCTGGGTGTGTGGGAGTGAGCATGAATGTGTATGCACAAGTGTGTGTATGTGTGTATGATCTGGGTGTGTAGGAGTGTGAATATGAACACGTGTGCACAAATGTGTATATGATCCGAGTGTGTAGGAGTGAGTGTGAATGTGAACATGTTTGCACGTGTGTATATGATATGGGTGCATGTGTGGGTGTGTTTGTGCAGGTGCACTGGGAGCTTTCAGCCTTGAGTCTGTGTGGCATCCAGGCTTTTCTGGATGATGTAGAATCAAACCCCATAATTAATTCCAGTAACTTAGAAATTTTCACTTATGAATACTAAATTCTCCTCACCTAGCAACTGACTGAGCAGGTTGAACAGCACCCTTCGCCGTTCTCCTGCAGAACCCCGTGGAATGGCCCTGCTTTCTCAGAGTGCTCCTAGCGGTGATGAGGGAGCCCAGCTCATTGCGGTTCGTGCAGAAGGCTGTGTGCCATCTCCGGGACTGCACGGAGAGGCGGAGGCTCAGGCGTGGGATCTGAGCTCAGTGGGCCCTTTAAGGACCGCTGCCTCCTTTCCTCCCTTTGGCATTCAGCATCGACTTACGATGGCTCCCAGTCACAGTCCTTGTCACTGCCTGGCATTACACAGGGCCACAGTCCCTTAACTGAAACACTTGGGACCAGTTGCATTTTGGAATTCGGAATGTTTCTTGATTTCAGAGAGAGAAGAGGGGATGGACTGTTGGGCAGCCCTGATTAACCCTGCAGCGTCTTGGCTCTAGAGGGGCCTACACGGCTGGGAGCGTCTCGGCTCTAGAGAGGGGCCTGCACTGCCGGGAGCATCTCAGCTCTAGAGAGGGGCCTGCACTGCTGGGAAGCCTACACGGCTGGGAGCGTCTCGGCTCTAGAGCCACAGCTGATGCATGGCAACGATGAGCTCTCCTGCTTAGTGCTGATGTGCCTCAGCCCCTAACCCCACTGGTGTCCAGATGAGGAACTTGAGGCTCAGAGAAGCTAGGTCAAGGTGAACACCAGTGTTGAGTTTCAGCCCCAGGTCTACCTGATGCTGCCTCCACATTGACTGAGTTGGCCTGGTCCATTGTGAGGTCAGGTAGAGCCAGGGCCGAGGTGGGGATGCCAAGGTCCCATGCCGCAAAGACGGGTGGGACGGCACAGGAGCCAGTCATCATCCCCAAAGACACAGCTCCGAATACCTCATCCTGAAATCCCAAAGATCAAAATCCCAAAAGTATAAATCTGGAAAAAATAATGTCGATGTTATTTATTTACATTTTTAAAAGGTATGTATTTGAGAAACATAAAAACACAACAGAACATTTCATAGGCCACTTTACACAATAAAATAGGCAATGATAACAGGTATTTTTGCATAAACACTGAGGTAACTAACGACGGCGGCATGGGTGTAGCAGTTATAAGAAGACAGACCATAAAGAAATAAGTCAAAAGAGAAACGTGTACACGTATATCGCTACGGTTACTAATTGTGTGCACCTAGCCCTGTAGCTGTGGTCATCTGAAATATCAGGGATTTTAGACTTGAGGGATTTTGATCTTTAGGGATTTCAACATTCCACATTATGGTGCTTGGGATTGTGTCTTTCAGGATTATGATCCAAACTCAGCTGGGCCTCCCCTCCCTGCCCCAGGATTGTGGAGTGAGAACGTTGCAGCAGGAGAGAACAACGCAGCAAAGCACAGCAGGGGAACCGGAAATGCTCACCTTTTGACAGGGTACTTTTAGTTCTGGGGCCTTATCTTAAGGATATTCCAACATATACAAAAAGATTCATGCACAGAGATATTTACTTTAGTATTATTTACCATAGGAAAAAAGTTGGAAACAATACATTTTATGTTCTGTAAAATGAAAGAACAGTTAAATAAATCATGGCTCTAAGACGACTCCAGGGCTGTGTACGGAAGTTCAGGGACAGAATCAGTTGAGGCTATTCCACCTGAGCCTAAGCTTCCTCTGCTGTATGTCGGGAATCAGGTGGGGGCCAAGCGAGATCACCACAGTGCAGGCCAGTGTGCAGGGCACAGGTGGGCGCCAGGGAGGGGACGCCGCACAGCCCCATGCTCTCGCCAAAAACGTGCAGCACAATTTGGAAGAAAACATTTCCATCTGTTAATAAAGAACAACGGCCTCTGGTCATAAGTGACACATGACCCTTTGCCTGAGTCTTTTTAAATTTTTCCATATGTTCCATATTTTCTACACCAAATGTAAGCTACTTTCATAATCACAAAAACTTAATGGAAAGAGGAGGAGGAGGACGGGGGTGGGGAGTAGTAGCCATGGGTTCGAGCCCTTCCTCTCTGCATGACTTGGATAACACTGTATATTCACACAGCTATTTCCCCATCTATGAACTTCTGAGGTGCTTTTATTAGTTGATGTCTGGGACCCCTAGGAGCTCTCTTTATACCTCATGATATCAAATGCCCACCTTTCCAGCTCCTCTTGGCCTCCTGCCCTTCCTGGAGGGAGATGCGCTCCCTGGAGCTGCTGACTAGGTGGAAGCAGACTGGCTCCTTCAGTGGGTAGGCCAGCCTGCCTGTCTCCCTAGCCCAGTCCCACCGTGCTGGCCTCAGTGGTGGAGGCAGGCATGGAGCCTTGGAGGAACCACTCCTCCCCAGCCGCCACCAACATTTGTGGCACCGAGAAGCACCCGTGCTATTCCGGACAGGGATGGGGTTGGACACCCATGCATAGGGGACCCTACACTCCTAGGCTTTGCTCTGGGCTAAACAGCAGGTGTGGATTTGGGCCTAGGCCTCGGAGAAGCCATCAGCTAGGGCAGAATTCCCATGTGGGCAGGATTTTATTTAGGAATTCCAGGGCTTTCTGTATTCCAGATTTCCTGTATTGTGCATATGTGCGTGCATGTATGTGCCCTCAGCCATGATGTAAAGTGTTTTTCTGGCTGGGGTTGCATCACAGAGTTTGGAAGCCACTGCTCTGCAGATTCTGAGGACCACCTCCCTTATTTCTCACCAAATTCCCATTTCTTCTGTTTTTGTTCCACCCAATGCAAAAAGCATACTGCCTTCTCTTCTGCATTGGTGGGCAGCGGGTCCTGCAGCTCAGGTTTCTCCAGCCAGGGCCCTGAACGTGAGCCTGGTGGCGTGGGCAGGGGGCTGACTCCATGTGGGCCAAAGGCAACCTATCCAGCTCTTCAGAATGGCTTTTCTCTCCTCCCTATAAAACATATTTTCTCTCCTCCCTATAAAGCCTATTTTTGTATTAGGGTGCTTGTTAAAATGAAAACATGAGATCATTGATGCATAACGAGAAGCCGTGTCATTACTTCCCAGGCCCTGTGCAAGGTGCAAATTGGCGTGTTAGTGGCTGTTTGCATCTTTTCAGTTCCTTTCGTCTTTTCTCCTTATCCTGCCCTTTATATGGTTTCTGCTTTAAGTCAAACATTGTGAGTGGATTGATGGACATATGTGTGTGTGAGCGTGTGTGCACAGATGCATGAGAACTGCAGAGAGAGATGGGAGGTAACCAGGGGGATCACTGTTCTCTTCTTCCCAAACATTAGCGTTAGGCTGTTCCGCTTCTGTTCTTGAGAGGGCACCCACATTACTGCTTGGGAGCCTGGAAATGGCCCCACTGAAGCAGCTCTGAGGCCCTGGACACCCTTTTCCTGGTTGTGGCCAGCTGAGTTGTGCATGGTCCTCCCCGTGGGATGTGCTTGGAGCATCTGCTGGTAGCAGAGCCTCAGTTCCTCTCCTGCGTTCTTTCGCTACAGGTGTTAGACCTGCTGCCCACCTGTGACCTGTTTACTGCCAGGGATAGACCTGTGGCCAGTGTGGAAAGCGAGATGCTTTGTCCATACAGCCTGCGGGGCTCAGCCTTCCCGGGGTTGCCCACAGCTAGGCTGGGCCAGGACCCCCAAGCCTGGGAACTTACACCTTTCTCACCTGCTTTCCTAAAGGTGGTTTTCCTTTGTGATCTCTCTCCCTGAACGGCTAAACCACACTCTGAATAGAAAACTGTCTTGAAAACTGCTTTGCACGTACATCTGATAAGGTCCTCTGGAGGGCGACCTCCACTGTCTAGTGGGCGAGGATTGTTCAGCCGTCTTGGCTGAGTCACCGAGCTGCCAAGGGCAGACTGTACCCTGGGCTCACCAGCATGCAAAGATATTTTATTCATTTATTTATTCCATAAATATATATTTATATTATTTATATTTAGAGCCAGTGTATCTCTCTGTCGCTCAGGCTGGAGTGCAGTGGCACTATCTCACTGCAGCCTCAAGCTCCCGGGCTCAAGGAATCCTCCTACTTTGTCCTCCCAAACAAAAATATTTTTAAGGAGCCCACTAGGAGAGTGCTGAGTTTAAAATCTAAGTTCTTGTTTCTTTTTTCTTTTTCACTGATGCATAATAGATGTACATAGTTTCAGGGTACATGTGATAGTTTAATGCATTCATATAATTGTGAAAATCAAATCAGCCTACTTGGAATATCTATCGCCTTAAATATTTGTTTTTGCTTTATGCTAGAACCGTTCCGATTCTTCTCTTCTAGCCATTTTGAAATATACAGTAGGCAATTGTCAACTATGATCTATGTAACACTAGGTCTTATTCCTTCTATCAAACCACGTATTTGTACCCTTCAATCAACTTCTCTTTCTCCCCCTCTCCCCGCTACATTTCCCCACCTCTGGTAACCACGCGTCTACCCTCTGTCTTCACGAGAGCTACTTTTTTAGTAGGTGGGAGAGAACATTCAATGTTTGTCTTTCTGTGCTTGGCTTATTTCACTTAACATAATGATCCCTAGTTCCATCTTGTACAAATAACAGGCTGTCGTTCCTCTGTATGGCTGAATAATATTCCACTGTGTATACACACCACGTTCTGTTTATCCATCATCCGCTGATGAACTCAGAGGCTGATTCCGTATTTTGGCGATTGTGAGTAGTCCCGCAGTAAACATGAGAGTGCAGATGTCTTTACGATATATTGATTTTGTTTCTTTTGACTATAGGCCCAGTTAGTGAAATTACTGGATCATACAGCAGTTTTACTTTTAGGTGTTTTTTTTGTTTGTTTGTTTGTTTTTTGAGATGGAGTCTTGCTCTGTCACTAGGCTGGTGTGCAGTGGTGTGATCTTGGCTCACTGCAACCTCTGCCTCCCGGGTTCCTGTGTTTAAGCGATTCCCCTGCCTCAGCCTCCTGAGTAGCTGGGATTTATAGGTGCGCACCACCACGCCCAGCTAATTTTTTGTATTTTAGTAGAGACGGGATTTCACCATGTTGGCCAGGATGGTCTCGATCTCCTGACCTTGTGATCCGCCCGCCTCCACCTCCCAAAGTGCTGGGATTACAGGTGTGAGACACCGCGCCCGGCCAACTTTTATTTATTTATTTATTTTTTAAGGAGGAGTCTTGCTCTGTCACCCAGGCTGGAGTGCAATGGTGCGCTCTCCGCTCACCGCAATCTCCACCTCCTGTGTTCCAGTGATTCTCCTGCCTCAGTCTCCCAAGTAGCTGGGATTACAGGGTCGCACCACCACGCCTGGCTAATTTTTTATATTTTTAGTAGAGATGGGGTTTCATCATGTTGGCCAGGCTGGTCTCAAACTCCTGACCTTGTGATCCCCCTGCTTTGGCCTCCCAAAGTGCTGGGACCACAGGCGTGAGCCACCGTGCCCGGCCCCTTTTGGTTTTTTGAGGAGCCTCCATCTGTTTTCCATAGTGGTTGTACTAATCAACGTTCCCACAACAGTGTGTGAGGGTCCCCCTTTCTCCACATCCTCGCCAGCATCCCTTATTCCCTGCGTTTTTGACGAAAGCCATTTTAACTGAGGTGAGAGAAGACCTCATTGCAGTTTTTTATTTGCGTTTCTCTGATGATTAGTGATGTTGAGCATTTTTTCATGTACCTGCTGGCCATTTGTACATCTTCTTTTGAGAAATGTCTACTCAGGTCTCTTGCCCATTTTAAAATTCGATTAATTGTTTGCTATTGTTTGAGCTCCTGGTTATGAATCCCTTGTCAGGTGGGTAGCTTGCAAGTATTTTCTCCCATTCTGTGGGTTGTCTCTTCAGTTTGTTGACTTTTTCCTTTGGTCTGCAGAGGGTTCTTAGCTTGGTGTGATTTCACTTGTCTGTTTTTGCTTTGGTTGCCTGTGCTTTTGGGGCCCTACTGAAAAAGTCTTTGCTGAGAACAATGTCCTGGAGCACTTCCCTAATGTTTTCTTCCAGTAGTTTTATACTTTCAGGTCTCAGTTTTACCTTTAATCCATTCTGATTTGATTTCTGTGTATGGTAAGAGAGACGGGTCTAGTTTCATTCTTCTGCATATCTTTATCTAGTTTCCCCTGCACCACTTATGGAAGAGACCGTCCTTTCGCTCGTATGTTGTTGGTGCCTTTGCTGAAGATGAGCTGGCTGTAAATGTGTGGATTTATATCTGGGTTCTCTATTCTGTTCCACTGGTCTATGTGTCTGTTTTACGTGATTACCAGGCTGATTACCAGGCTGATAGGTTGGCTCATGCCTGTAATCCCAGTACCTTTGGAGGCCCAGGTGGGAGGATCACTTGAAGCCAGGACTTCAAAACCAGCCTGGGCAACAAAGCAGGACCCCATCTCTACAATGTTTTAAAAAATTATTTGGTGCAGTGGCATACACCTGTAGGAGGCTGAGGTGGGAGGATCCTTTGAGCCTAGGAGTTTGAGGCTGCTCTGAGCTGTGATTGTGCTACTGCACTCCAGCCTGGTTGACAGAGCAAGGCCCTGTCTCTTAAAAAAAAAAAAAAAACTATTGCAAGAGGAGAGAGAGAGACTGAATTCAACTCTCAATACAACAGAGACAAGTGGGGATAGCCAATGAGCAGGGTGAGGGAGGTGATGAAAAGTTGTTGAAAGGAGCTTGGTTAGTTAGCAAGGGTGGGGAAGATTCTCACTAAGGACCTTAGCAGCATTCCTTGCTAGCACTGAGCTCAGCAGGCCAAGGATGAGGCTTCATCAAGGAGAAGGCTCAAAGGAGCCTGAGTGGAGTTTGGTCAAGGAGAGCGTCTTTGTCATCCTTGCAATGACTCATTTTATAGGTAATTAAGTAGGGGGTTCAGACAGGTCAAAGACTTACCAAAAAGAGGAAATTGTGTCCATGTGGCTGGTGGCTCACCCCAGGAACTGACAGTGGCTTACTCTCAGAAACTCAGAGTGTGCGTGTCTCTTTGAATCCGTATCTGTGTGTGGGTGGGTGTGTCTGTCTGTGTGCGTGCCTCAGTCTCTTCTGAATTTCTCTCCCAATCCCCGTCTCTCTTTCCTCGGGTTGGTGTTTCCCTCCTGCTGGCCTCTGGCCAGCTATTTCTGGAAGTGTCAGCTGCTCTGTCTTCCTGCCCCTGTCTCCACCATCACGTCTGTGTCTGACTCCCTTTCTTTCCCATACAAAACCCCTAATGGAAGTCCTACTGTTTCTGTAACTGGCCACTGCCTATAACAAATCTTTGCTTAGGTTGTGTTTCTTTGTAGAATAGACTGATGTACTGTGTGCTTGATTTTTACAAGATGAGCACAATACCTTATCTTTCTTCTTTATTAAAAAAAAGGAAAAATCCAAACACAAGATTAATATCTCGTCTTGGACTGTGCCCCGCTCGAGCCTCTCCACATGCAGCCGGAAGGAAAGTGGAGGGAGCTGCTCCTTTCCGTAGCCGGGGTGCCCACCCCAACCAGGCTGCCTCTGCCACCCAAGACAGAGGTTCTCTGATAATAATTTGTGGGGCTTGTTTCCAGAGACCACACCTGAAGCTGCCAACTCCCCGGAGGGAAGGTCCTGATTAATGGCCGATGAATTTCTCCTTAAGGCCCTGAAACTGCCTACTCAGAACCAAGCCAGTTTTTCCTGCCTGTCCTGTTTGGGCAGGCAGAGGAGGCAGCTAGAAACCCATTATGCAGGGGATGGGGGTAAGTGGAGGAGGGAGGGGTCGGGGGAGGAGTGGGGAGGAGGAGGAGGGAAACAGGAAACCCCAGGCTTTGGCTATGATGGGGTCAGCCTTTCTACACCATTCCGGGATGCTGGTGTCCACCACTGCTGCCTGGGCACGGGGAACAGAGAATCTGCCTGGTGGGAGCAGACAAGAGGTTCGAGGACCAGAGCTCATCCTCTTCGGTGTGTGCCTGGGAGGAGGTGTAGGTGCAGCCAGTGGGGTATGATTAAAAAGAAGGGACGCGAGTTTAGGGGACAGCCGCCCACGTGCACCAGCTCTCCGTGTGCCAAAATCTTGCCTGTCAGGGACCAGGATCCCACTTCACAGTTAGCAAATAGCAGCTCAGGGACATTAAGCAACTCGCCCAGCATCCCACCAGCAGACAGTCTCACCTTCAGGGTCGTCTGTGTCTGTTAAAGTCGAGTCTAGTTTCGGGTCTCAGAGCACCTCCCTAAAGCTGCCGTAAACCAAGAATAAAATTCTAAGCCCCACAGCCGATCGCGTGGACCCCGCCTCTGGGCCAAAGGGATTCCAGAGAAACCTGAAGAACTAGTTCAGGCCGTGATGAGGAGGAGTGGGGGCTGGACAGGCCTCATTGTACCCTCCTCCCTTTGGAATTTGGGCAGAACTGACCAGAACCAACATTAAAAGAGAGATCTGAAGACTGACAAGGCTCTCTAGCAATAAGATACCAAATTCCAACCTGACTCCAGTGCAGCATCACATGACAGACAGAGGCCATGAAATCAATATTTTACCTCAAAATATATTTCTTTGACATACTTTGAAATGGCCCTGCCAAGCTGTCTCTTGTGGGGGACATTTACATTCTGTAGAGAATCCCTTCCCTTTCCAGGTCTTTCTCTGATCCTGAAGACATTGGCTGAGAGCCTAGCACCTTCTATGGGTCTGAACAGGAAACATTTGCCATCTATTGTCTCTAAGGGTGGCCACCTATGAAACTTCATCTACATAATAAGAACCTTGGTCTGCACAGTCTCTTATCTTAACCCAGACTCTCCTTTCTATTGATAGCAGGTCTGTAGATAATAATTCTTTCAACCAACTGAGAATCAGAAAATCTTTGAATCTATCTATGACCTGTAAACCCCATTACTTTGAATTTTCCTCCTTCCAGACCAAACCAATGCACAACTCCTACGTACTGATGGTGGTCTTACGTTTCCCTAAGTTTCTGCCGACTAAACTGTGCACACATTCTCAGGACCTCCTGAAGCTGCGTCACAGGTGCTGATCAAAGAACACAACCAAGGTGAGTGTCAATCATTTCAAGAAATCTGTTTGCAAGGTTAAGGACACACCTGAGAAAAGAACAGAGAACCACAGGAAAAACTGTGGTCCGTGCTTTTCCCAAAGATTGTCTGGGGACCTCAGTAAGTAAAGGGGAGAAGTGTGGGTGTTGGGGAAAGGGGAAGAAGTGGAAAAAATGGGTGTGGGTAAATCAGAGGCAAATGGTTGCATTCTTCTGTCTTTGGTCAGCGTTCACTGAATACACATTTTACATGCGATGGAGGTAGAGGCAGGGATGTAGCTTTTTTATCTTTGTGTAATAGCTATCTTATTTAGGAACCAGATGGGAAGCAGGTTTGCATAAGCCAGTTCCCAGCTTGGCTTTTCCCTTTGGCTTAGTGAGTCTGGGGTCCCAGGATTTATTTTCCGTTCTCACAGGTTGTGGTCCTCACATTTGGCTCAAAATATTCAAAATTTTTTCCAGAGTTTGGCCTTTTCTTCAGCACTGGGAATTGTGATC